>NW_012132917.1:0-165718 GCF_000001405.40 Homo sapiens
AAATAATCAATTGCAGATTCTACAAAAAGAGTATTTCAACCTGCTCTGTCAAGAGGAATGTTTAACTCTGTGAGTTGAATGCAAATATCACAAAGTAGTTTCTGACAATGCTTCTGTTTAGTTTTTATGTGAAGATATTTCCTTTTCTACGTAGCCTTCAAAGCGCTCTAAATATATACTTGCAAATTCCACAAAAGTAGGGTTTCAAAACTGCTCTATCAAAAGTAAGGTTAATCTCTGTCAGCTGAATGCAAACATCACAAAGTAGTTTCTGAGAATGATTCTGTATAGTTTTTCTATGATGTTATTTCCTTTTCTACCAGAGGCCTCAAACGGAGCTAAATATCCACTTGGAAATTATACAAAAACAGTATTTCAAAACTGCTCTTTCGAAAAGAAGTTTCAACTCTGTGAGTTGAATGCACACATCACAAAGAAGTTTCTGAGAATTCTTCTGTTCAATTTTATATGAAGAAAACCCGTTTCCAACGAAGGCTTCAAAAAAGTCCAAATATTCACTTGCAGATTCCACAAAAATTTGTTTCAAAACTGATCTATCAACAGAAACGTTAAACCCTTTGAGTTCAACGCACAACTCACAAAGTAGTTTCTGAGAATCATTCTATCTATCTAGTTTTTCTATGAAGATATTGCCTTTTCAACGATAGGCCTCAAACGGCGCTAAATATCCACTTGTAAGGTCTACAAAAAGTGAGTTTCAAAACTGCTCTATCAAAAGGAATGTTCAACACTGTGAGTTGAAAACACACATCACAAAGAAGTTTCTGAGAATTCCTCTGTCCTGTTTTATATGAAGACATCACATTTCAAAAGAACGCCACAAAGAGGTCCAAATATTCAATTGCAGATTCTACAAACAGAGTGTTTTAAAACTGCACCATCAAGAGGAATGTCCATCTCTGTGAGTTGAATGCCAATATCACAAAGTAGTTTCTGACAATGCCTCTGTCTGGTTTTTATGTGAAGATATTTCCTTTTCTATGGTAGACCACAAAGCGCTCTAACTATATACTTGGAAATTACACAAAAAGAGTGTTTCATAACTGCTCTATCAAAACAAAGGTTAAACTCTGAAAGCTGTATGCACACTTCACAAACTAGGTTCTGATAATGATTCTGTCTTGTTTTTCTACGAAGATATTTCCATTTCTACCATAGGCTTCAAACCGCAATAAATATCCACATGGAAATTCTACAAAAAGAGCATTTCAAAACTGCTCTATCGAAAGGAAGGTTCAACTCTGTGAGTTGAATGCACACATCACAAAGAAGTTTCTGAGAATTCTTCTGTATAGTTTTATATGAAGAAATCACGTTTCCAAAGAAGGCCTCAAAAAAGTCCAAATATTCACTTGCAGATTCTACCAAAAGTGTGTTTCAAAACTGCTCTATCAAAAGAAACGTTAAACCCTGTGCGTTGAACGCATACATCACAAAGTAGTTTCTGAGAATCATTCTGTCTAGTTTTTCTATGAAGATATTGCCTTTTCTTCCATAGGTCTCAAACGGTGCTAAGTATCCACTTGGAAATTCTACTAAAGGACAGTTTCAAAACTGCTCTATCGATAGAAAGATTCAACTCTGTGAGTTGAAAGCATATATCCCAAAAAATTTCTGAGAATTCTTCTGTCTAGTTTTATATGAAGAAATCACGTTTCAAAGGAAGGCCACAAAGAAGTCCAAATATCCACTTGCAGATTCTACAAAAAGAGAGTTTCAAAACTGCTCTGTCAAGAGGAAAGTTCAACTCTGTGAGTTGAATGCAAACATCACAAAGTAGTTTCTGACAATTCTTCTGCCTAGTTTTTTACGTGAAGATATTTCCTTTTCTACAGTAGGCCTCAAAGCGCTCTAAATATACACTTACAAATTCCACAAAAAGAGTGTTTCAGAACTGCTCTATCAAAAGAAAGCTTAAACAATGTTAGCTGAATGCACACATTGCAAAATAGTTTCTGAGAATGATTCTGTCTAGTTTTTCTAAGAAGATATTTCCTTTTTTACCATAGGCCTCAAACCGCTCTAAATATCTACTTGGAAATACTTCAAAAAGAGTATTTCAAAACTGCTCTATCAAAAGGAAGGTTCAACTCTGTGAGTTCAATGCACAAGTCTCAAAGAAGTGTCTCTGAATTCTTCTGTCAAGTTTTATATGAAGAAATGACATTTCCAAAGAAGGCTTCAAAAAGTCCCAATATTTACTTGAAGATCCTACAAAAATAGTGTTTCCAAAGTGATCTATCAAGACGAATGTTCAACACCATTAGTTGAATGTAAATATCACATAGTAGTTTCTGACAATGCTTCTGTCTAGTTTTTAATTGAATATATTTCCTTTTCTACCGTAGTCCTCAAACCGCTATAGATATGCACTTGCAAATACCATAAAAAAAGAGTGTTTCAAAACTGTTCTATCAAAAGAAAGTTTAAAGTCTGTAAGCTGAATGCACACATCACAAAGTCGTTTCTGAGAATGATTCTGTCTAGTTTTTTTTGAAGATAATTCCTTTTCTACTGTAGGCCTCAAACCACTCTAAATATCCACTTGGAAATACTACAAAAAGAGTATTTCAAAACTGCTCTATCGAAAGAAAGGTTCAACAATGTGAGTTGAATGCGCACACCCTAAAGGAGTTTCTGAGAATTCTTCTGTCACGTTTTAAATGAAGAAATCCCGTTTCCAACGGATGCCCCAAAAAAGCCTAAATATTTAATAGCCGATTGTACAAAAAGAGTGTTTCAAAACTGCTATATCAAAGAAAAGATAAACCCTATGAGATGAACGCACACATGACAAAGTAGATTCTGAGAATCATTCTGTCTAGTTTTTCTATGAAGATATTGTCTTTTCTACCATAGGCCTCAAACAGCGCTATATAACCACTTGGAAATACTACAAAAAGACAGTTTCACAACTGCTGTATGGAAAGGAAGGTTCAACTCTGAGTTGAAAGCACACGTCACAAAGAAGTTTCTGAGAATTCTTCTGTGTAGTTTTATACGAAGAAATCACGTTTCAAACGAAGGCCACAAAGAAGTCCAAATCACTCGCAGATTCTACAAAAAGAGAGTTTCAAAACTGCTCTATCAAGAGGAATGTTCAACACGGTGAGTTGTAAGCAAATATCACAAAGTAGTTTCTTACAATGCTTCTGCCTACTTTTTATGTGAAGATATTTCCTTTTCTACCGTAGGCCTCTAAGCGCTCTAAATATACTCTTGCAAATTCCACAAAAAGAGTGTTTCAAAACTGCTCTACCAAAACAAAGGTTAAACTCTGTAAGCTGAATGCACACATCACAAAGTAGTTTCTGACAATTATTCTGTCTAGTTTGTCTGTGAAGATATTTCCTTTTCTACCACAGGCCTCCAACCGCTCTAAATATCCAGTTGGAAATACTACCAAAAGACTACTTCAGAACTGCTCTATCCAAAGGAAGGTTCAACTCTGTGAGTTGAATGCACACATCAGAAAAAAGTTTCTGATAATTCTTCTTTCACGTTTTATATGAGGAAATTCCGTGACCAACGAAGGCCCCCAAAAAGTCCAAATATTCACTTGCAGATTCTACAAAAACAGTGTTTCAAAACTGCGCTATCAAAAGAAAGATTAAACTCTGTAAGCTGAATGCAAACATCAAAAAGTAGTTTCTGTGAATGATTCTGTATAGTTTTTCTACGAAGGTATTTCCTTTTCTACCACAGGCCTCAAACCGCTCTAAATATCCATTTGGAAAATCTACAAAAAGAGTATATCAAAACTGTTCGATAGAGAGGAAATTTCAATTCTGTGAGTTGAATGCACACACCACAAAGCAGTTTCTGAGAATTCTTCTGTCACGTTTTATATGAAGAAATCTCGTTTCCAACAAAGGCCCCAAGAAGTCCAAATATTCACTTGCAGATTCTACAAAAACAGTACTTCACAACTGCTCTATCAAAAGAAAGATTAAACTGTGTGAGCTGAATGCACACAGCACAATGTAGTTTCTGAGAATCATTCTGTGTAATTTTTCTATGAAGATATTAACTTTTCTACCATAGGCCTCAAACGGCACTAAATATCCACTTGGATAATCTACAAAAAGAGAGTTTAAAACTGCTCTATCGAAAGGAAAGTTCAACTCTGTGAGATGAAAGCACACATCACCAATAAGTTTCTGAGAATTTTTCTGTCTAGTTTTATTTGACGAAATCACATTTCAAGCGAAGGCCACAAAGAGATCCAAATATCCCCTCGCAGATTCCAGAAAAAGAGTGTTTCAAAACTGGTCTATCAAAAGAAAGTGTAATCTCTGTAAGCTGAATGCACACATTGCAAAGTATTTTCTGACAATGATTCGGTCTACTTTTTCTATGAAGATACTTCCTTTTCTACCACAGGCCTCAAACCGCTCTAAATGTCCACATGGAAATACTCCAAAAGGAGTATTTCAAAACTGCTCAAAGGAAATGAATGTTCAAATCTTTGAGTTGAATGCACACATCACAAAGATGTTTCTGAGAATTTTTCTGTCATGTTTCATTTGAAGAAATCAGGTTTCAAATGAAGGACGCAAAAAGTCCAAATATTCACCTACAGATTCTACAAAAAGAAAGTTTCAAAATTTCTCTATCTAGAGGAATGTTTATCTCTGTGAGTTGAATGCAAATATCACGTAGTAGTTTCTGTCAATGCTTCTGTCTTGTTTTTATATGAAGATAATTCCTTTTCTACAGTATTCCTCTAAGCGCTCTAAATATACAATTGCAAATTCCACAAAAAGAGTGTTTCAAAACTGCTCTATCAAAAGAAAGGTTAAACTCTGTGAGTTGAACGCACACATCACAAAGTAGTTTCTGAGAATCATTCTGTCTAGTTTTTCTATGAAGATATTGCCTTTTCTAACACAGGTCTCAAACGGCGGTAAATATCCACTTGGAAATCCTACCAAAAGAGATTTTCAAAACTGCTCTATCAAACGGAAGTTTCAACAATAGGAGTTGAAAGCTGACATCACAAAGAAGTTTCTGAGAATTCTTCTGTCTAGTTTTATATGAAGAAATCACGTTTCAAACGAAGGCCACAAAGAGGTCCAAATATCCGCTTGCAGATTCTACAAAAAGAGTGTTTCAAAACTGCTCTATCAAAAGAAAGATTAAACTCCGTAAGCTGAATGCACATATCACAAAGTACTTTCTGTGAATGATTCTGTCTAGTTTTTCTATGAAGATATTTCCTTTTCTATCACAGGCCTCAAACCGCTCTAAATATCCACTTGGAAATTCTACAAAAAGAGTATTTCAAAACTCCTCTATCGAAAGGAATGTTCGTTTTTGTGAGTTGAATGCACACATCACAAAGTAGTTTCTGAGAATCATTCTGCCTAGTTTTTCTATGAAGGTATTGCCTTTTCCACCATAGGCATCAAACGGCAATAAATATCCACTTAGAAATTCTACAAAAAGAGTTTCAAAACTGCTCTATGGAAAGGAAGGTTCAACTCTCTGAGTTGAAATCACACAATAGAAATAACTTTCTGAGAATTCTTCTGTCTGATTTTATATGAAGAAATCACGTTTCAAACGAAGTCCACAGAGAGGTCCAAATATCCGCTGGCAGATTCTACAAAATGAGTGTTTCTAAAGTGATCTATCAAGAGGAATGTTCAACTCTGTGAGTTGAATGCCAATATCACAAAGCAGATTCTGACAATGCTTCTGTCTAGTTTTTTTGTGAAGATATTTCCTTTTCTACAGTAGGCCTCAAAGCACTCTAAATATACACTTACAAATACCACAAAAAGAGTGTTTCAAAACAGCTCTATCAAAAGAAAGGTTAAATTTTTTAAGCTGAATGCACACAACACAAAGCAGTTTCTCAGAATGATTCTGTCTAGTTTTTCTAAGAAGATATTTCCTTTTCTACCACAGGCCTGAAAACCACTAAAAGTATCCACTTAGAAATCCTGCAAAAAGTGTATTTCAAAACTGCTCTATCGAAAGGAAGGTTCAAATCTGTGAGTTGAACGCACACATCACAAAGAAGTTTCTGAGAATTCTTCTGTCAAGTTTCATATGAAGAAATCCCCTTTCCAAGGAAGGCCTCAAAAAGTCCAAATATTTAGTTGTAGATACTACAAAAAGAGTGTTTCAAAACTGCTCTATCAAAAGAAATGTGAAACTCTGTGAGTTGAATGAACACTTCACAAAGTAGTTTCTGAGAATCATTTTGTCCAGTTTTTATATGTAGATATTGCCTTTTCTACCATATTCCTCAAATGGCGCTAGATATCCACTTGGAAATACTACAAAAGGAGAGTTTCTAAACTGCTCTATCGAAAGAAGGTTCAACTCTGTGAGTGGAAAGCACACATCACAAAGAAGTTTCTGAGAATTCTTCTGTGTAGTTTTATATGAAGAAATCACATTTCTAACGAGAGCCCAAAGAGGTCCAAATATCCACTCGCAGATTCTACAAAAAGAGTGTTTCAAAACTTCTCTATCAAGAGGAAAGTTCAACTCTGTGAGTTTAACGCAAATATCACAAAGTAGTTTCTGACAATGATTCTGCCTAGTTTTTATGTGACTATATATCCTTTTCTAACGTAGGCCCTAAACCGCTCTAAATATACACTTGCAAATTCCACAAAAAGAGTGTTTCAAAACCGCTCTATCGAATGGAAGGTTCAACACTAGGAGTTGAATGCACACATCACAAAGTATTTTCTGAGAATCATTCTGTCTGGTTTTTCTCTGAAGATATTGCGTTTTCTACCACATGCCTCAAACGGCAATAAGTATCCACTTGTAAATTCTGCAAAACGGCAATTTCAAAAATACTCTATCGCAAGGAAGATTCAACTCTGGGAGTTGAAAGCACATATCTCAAAGAAGTTTCTGAGAATTCTTCTGTCTAGTTGTAAATGAAGAAATCACGTTTCAAACGAAGGCCACAAAGAGGTCCAAATATCCATTTGTAGATTGTGCAAAAAGAGTGCTTAAAAACTGCTCTATCAAGAGCAATGTTCAACTCTGTGAGTTGAATGCAAATAACACAAAGGAGATTCTGACATCCCTTCTGTCTAGTTGTTATTGGAAGATATTTCCTTTTCTACCGTAGGCCTCAAAGCGCTCTAAATATACACTTGCAAATCCCACAAAAAGAGTGTTTCAAAACTGCTCTATCAAAGGAAAGGTTAAACTCTGTAAGCTAAATGCACACATCACAAAGTAGTTTCTGAGAATGATTCTGTCTGGTTTTCTTATGAAGATATTACCTTTTCTACCATAGGCCTCAAACCGATCTGAATATACACTTGGAAATTTTACAAAAAGAGTATTTCAAAACTTCACATTCGAAAGGAAGTGTCAACTCTGTTAGTTGAATGCACACATCACAAAGTAGTTTCTGCAAATTCCTCTGTCAAGTTTTATATGAAGAAATCCCGTTTCCAACGAAGGCCTCAAAAAACCCCAAATATTCAATTGCAGATTCTACAAAAACAGTGTTTCAAAATTGCTCTATCAATAGAAAGCTTAAACTCCGTGCGTTCAACGCACACATCACAAAGTAGTTTCTGAGAATCATTCTGACTAGTTTTTCTGTGAAGATATTGCCTTCTCTACCATAGGCCTCAAATGGCGCTAAATATCCACTTGGAAATTTTACAAAAGTAGAGAATCAAAACTGCTCTATCGAAAGGAATGTTCAAATATTTGAGTTGAAAGCACACATCACAAAGAGATTTCTGAGAATTCTTCTGTCTAGTTTTAAATGAAGAAATCACGTTTCAAACGACGGCCACAAAGAGGTAAAAATATCCACTTGTAGATTCTGAAAAAGGAGTGTCTATAATCTGCTCGATCAAGAGGAATGTTCAACCCTGTATGTTGAATGCAAATATCACAAAGTAGTTTCTGACAATGCTTCTGTCTAGTTTTTATGTGAAGATATTTCCTTTTCTACCGTATGCCTCAATGCACTATAAATATACAATTGCAAATTCCACAAAAAGACTGTTTAAAACTGCTCTATCAAAAAAAATGTTAAACTCCATAAGCTGAATGCACACATCAAAAGGTAGTTTCTGAGAATGATTCTGTCTAGTTTTTCTATGAAGATATTTCCTTTTCTAGCATAGGCGTCAAGCCGCTCTAAATATCCAATCGGAAATTCTACAAAAAGAGAATTTCAAAACTGATCTATCGAAAGGAAGTTTTACTTCTATGAGTTGAATGCACACATCACAAAGAAGTTTCTGAGAAATCTTCTGACAAGTTTTATATGAAGAAATCCCGTTTCCAACGAAGGCCTCAAAAAAGTCCTAATATTCACTTGCAGATTCTACAAAAAGAGAGTTTCAAAACTGCTCTGTCTACATAATGTTTAAACTCTCTGAGTTGAACGCACGCATCACAGAGTAGTTTCTGAGAATCATTCTGTCTACTTTTTCTATGAAGATATTGCCTTTTCTACCATAGGCCTCAATAGGCACTAAATATCCACTCGGAAATTCTACAAAAAGAGAGTTTCAAAACTCCTCTATCGAAAGGAAGGTTCAAATCGGTGAGATGAAAGCTCACATCACAAAGAAGTTTCTGAGAATTATTCTGTCTAGTTTTACATGAAGAAATCACGTTTCTAACGAAGGCCTCAAAGAGGTCCAAATATCCATATGTAGATTCTACAAAAAGAGTGTTTCAAAACTGCTCTGTCAAGAGGAATATTCAACTAAGTGAGTAGAATGCAAATATCACAAAGTAGTTTCTGACAATGTTTCTGTGTAGTTTTTATGTGAAGATATTTCCTTTTCCACCGTAGGCCTCTAAGCGCTCTAAATATACACTTGCAAATTCCACAAAAAGACTGTTTAAAACTGCTCTACCAAAAGAAAGTTTAAACAGTCTAAGCTGAATGCGTACATCACAAAGTAGTTTCAGAGAAAGTTTCTGTCTAGTTTTTGTATGAAGATATTTCCCTTTCTACCATAGGTCTGAAACCGCTCTAACTATCCATTTGGAAATTCTACAAAAAGAGTATTTCAAAACTGCTCTATCGAAAGGAAGGTTCAAATCAGAGAGTTGAATGCACACATCACGAAGAAGTTTCTGAGAATTCTTCTGTCAAGTTTTCTATGAAGAAATCCCGTTTCCAATGAAGGCCTCAAAAAAGTCCAAATATTCACTTGCAGATTCTACAAAAAGAAGGTTTCAAAACTGCTCTATCAAAAGAAAGGTAAAACTCGGTGAGTTGAATGCAAACATCACGAAGTAGTTTTGGAGAATGATTCTGTCTTGTTTTCTATGAAGATATTGCCTTTGCTACCATAGGCCTCAAACAGCGCTAAATATCCACTTGGAAATACTGCAAAAAGAGACTGTCAAAACTGCTCTATCGAAAGGAAGGTTCAACTATGTGTGTTGAAAGGACACATCACAAAGAAGTTTCTGATAATTCTACTGTCTAGTTTTATATGAAGAAATCACATTTCCAAGGAAGGCCACAAAGAGGTCCAAATATCCACTTGCAGATTCTACAAAAAGAGTGTTTTAAATCTGTTCCATCAAGAGGAATGTTCAACTCTGTGAGTTGAATGCAAATATCACAAATTGGTTTCTGATAATGCTTCTGTCTATTTTTTATGTGAAGATATTTTCTTTCCTACCGTAGGACTCAAAGCACTCTAATTATACACTACCAATTCCACAAAAAGAGTACTTTAAACCTGCTCTATCAAAAGAAACGTTAAATTCTTTAACCTGAATGCAGACATCACAAGGTAGTTTCTGAGAATGATTCTCTCTACTTTTTCTATGAAGATATTTACTTTTCTACCATATGCCTCTAACCACTCTAAATATCCACTTGGAAATTCTACAAAAACAGAATTTCAAAACTGCTCTATCGAAGGGAAGGTTCAACTCTGTGAGTTGAATGCACACATCACAAAGAAGTTTCTGAGAATTCTTCTGTCAAGTTTTATATGAAGAAATCCCGTTTCCAACGAAGGCCTCAAAACAGTTCAAATATTCACTTGCAGATTGTACAAAAAGAGTGTTTCAAAACTGCTCTATCAAAGGAAAGTTTAACCTCTGTGAGTTGAACGCACACATCACAAAGTAGTTTCTGAGAATCATTCTGTCTAGTTTTTCTATGAAGATGTTGCATTTTCTACCATAAGCTTCATACGGGGCTAAATATTCACTTGGAAATTCTACAGAAAGAGAGTTTCAAAACTGCTCTGAAGAATGGAAGCTTCAAATCTGTGAGTAGAAAGCACACACCACTGAGAAGTTTCTGAGAATTGTTCTGTCGAGTTGTAAATGAAGAAATCACGTTTCAAAGGAAGGCCACAAAGAGGCCCATATATCCACTTGAAGATTCAACAAAACAGTGTTTCAAAACTGCTCCATCAAGTGTAATGTTCAACTCTCTGAGTTGAATGCAAATATCACAAAGTAGTTTCTGATAATGCTTCTGTCTAGTTTTTATGTAAAGATTTTTCCTTTCCTACCGTAAGCCTCAAAACACTCTAAATATACAGTTGCAAATTAGAAAAAGGAGTGTTTCAAAACTGCTCTATAAAAACATTGGATAAACTCTGTTAGCTGAATGCCCACATCACAAATTAGTTTCCGAGGATGATTCTGTCTATTTTTTTTATGAAGATATTTACTTTTCTACCGTAGGCATCAAACCGATCTAAATATCTACTTGGAAATTTTACAAAAAGATTCTATCAAAACTGCTCTATCGAAAGGAATGTTCAACTCTGAGAGTTAAATGCACACATCACAGAGAATTTTCTTAGAATTCTTTTTTCAAGTTTTATATGAAGAAATCTCGTTTCCAAAGAATGCCTCAAAAAAGGCCAAATATTCACTTGCAGATCCTACAAAAAGAGTATTTCAAAACTGCTCTAGCAAAAGAAAGGTTAAACTCTGTGAGTTGAAAGGAAACATCACAAAGTAGTTTCTGAGAACCATTCTGTCCAGTTTTTCTCTGAAGACATTGCCTTTTCTACAATAGGCCTCAAACAGTGCTAAATATCCACTTGGAAATTCTACAGAAAGTGAATTTCAAAACTGCTCTATCGAAAGGAAGCTTCAACTCTGTGAGTTGAAAGCAAACATCACAAAATAGTTTCTGAGAATTCTTCCGTCTTGTTTTGTATTAAGAAATCATGTTTCAAAGGAAGGCCACAAAGTGGTCCAAATATCCACTTGGAAATTCTACAAAATAGTATTTCAAAACAGCTCTATTGAAAGGAATGTTCAACTCTGTGAGTTGAATTCATACATCACAAAGAAGTTTCTGAGAATTCTTCTGTCACGTTTTATACGAAGAAATCCCGTTTCCAAAGAAGGCCTCAAAAAAGTCCAAATATTCACTTGCAGATTCTACAAAAGAGTGTTTCAAAACTCCTCTATCAAAACAAAGTTTAAACTCTGTGGCTTGAGCGCAAACATCACAAAGTAGTTTCTGAGAATCATTCTGTCTAGTTTTTCTATGAAGATATTGCCTTTTCTACCATAGGCTTCAAAAGGCGCTTAATAAACTCTTGGAAATTCTACAAAAAGAGAGTTTAAAAACTGCCCTATTGAAAGGAAGCTTCAACTCTGTGAGGTGAAAGCACACATCACGAAGTAGTTTCTGAAAACTCTTCTGTCTAGTTGCAACTGCAGAAATAACGTTTCAAAAGAAGGCCACTAAGAGGTCCTAATATCCACTTACATATTCTACAAAAAGAGTGTTTCAAAACTGCTCCATCAAGAGGAATGTTCAACTCTGTGAGTTGAATGCAAATATCACAAATTAGTTTCTGACAATGCTTCCATCTATTTTTTTATGTGAAGATTTTTCCTTTCCTACCATAGGCATCAAAACGCTCTAAATATACAATCGCAAATTCTACAAAAAGAGTGTTTCAAAACTGCTCTATTAAAAGAAAGGTTAAACTCTGTAAGCTGAATGCACACATCCCAAAGAAGTTTCGGAGAATGATTCTGTCTAGTTTTTCTATGAAGATATTTCCTTTTCCACCATAGGCCTCAAACCGCTCTAAATATCCACTTGGAAATTCTACAAAACGAGTATTTCAAAACTGCTCTATCGAAAGGAAGGTTCAACTCTGTGAGTTGAATGCACACATCACAAAGAAGTGTCTCAGAATTCTTCTGTGAACTTTTATATGAAGAAATCCCGTTTCCAACGAAGGCCTCTAAAAAGTCCAAATATCCACTTGTAGATTATACAAAAAGAGTGTTTCAAAACTGTTCTATCAAAAGAAAGTTAAACTTTGTGAGTTGAAAGCATACACCACAACGTAGTTTCTGAGAATTATTCTGTCTAGTTTTTCAATGAAGATATTTCCTTTTCTATCATAGGCCTCAAACAGTGCTATATATCCACTTGGAAATTCTGGAAAATGGGAGTTACAAAACTGTTCTATCGAAAGGAAGGTTCAACCCTGTGAGTTGAAAGCACACATCACAAAGAAGTTTCTGATAATTCTTCTGCCTAGTTTTATATGATGAAATCACATTTCCAAGGAAGGCCACAAAGAGGTCCAAATATCCACTTGCAGATTCTACAAAAAGAGTGTTTTAAAACTGCTCTATCAAGAAGAACGTACAACTCTGTGAGTTGAATGCAAATATCACAAAGTAGTTTCCGACAAAGCTTCTGTCTAGTTTTTATGTGAAGATATTTCCTTTTCTACCATAGGCCTCAAAGCGCTCTAAGTATACAATTCCAAATTCCACAGAAAGAGTATTTCAATACCGCTCTATCAAAAGAAAGGTTAAACTCTGTAAGCTGAATACACACATCACAAAGTAGTTTCTGAGAATGATTCTCTCTACTTTTTCTATGAAGATATTTCCTTTTCTACCACAGGCCTCAGACGGCTCTATATACATTTGGAAATTCTACAAAATGAGTATTTAAAAACTGCTGTATCAAAAGGAAGTTCAAGTTTGTGAGTTGAATGCACAAATCACAAAGAAGTTTCTGAGAATTCTTCTGTCAACTTTTCTATGAAGAAATCCCTTTCCAACGAAGGCCTCAAGAAAGTCCAAACATTCCTTTGCAGATTCTACAGAAATAGTGTTTCAAAAGTGCTCTATCAAAAGAAAAGTTACACGCTTTGAGTTGAAGGCACACACCAGAAAGTAGTTTCTGAGAATCATTCTGTCTGGTTTTTCTGTGAAATTATTTCCTTTTCTATCAATGGCCTTAAACGGCGCTAAATATCCACTAGGAAATTCTACAAAAATTGAGTTTCAAAACTGCTGTACCGAAGGAAGGTTCAACTCTGTGAGTTGAAAGCACACAACTCAAAGAAGTTTCTGATAAATCTTCCGTCTAGTTTTATATGAAGAAATCATGATTCAAACGATGGCCACAAAGAGGTCCAATATTCCACTTGCAGAATCTACAAAAAGAGTGTTTCAAAACTGCTCTATCAAGAGGAATGTTCAACTCTGTGAGTTGAATGCAAATATCACACAGTAGTTTCTGACAATACTTCTGTCTAGTTTTTCTATGAAGATATTGCCTTTTCTACCATAGGCCTCAAACGGTGCTAAATATCCACTTGGAAATTCTACAAAAACAAAGTTTCAAAACTGCTCTATCGAAAGGAAAGTTCATCTCTGTGATTTGAAAGCACACATCACAAAGAAGAAGTTTCTGATAATTCTTCTGTCTAGTTTTATGTAAAGAAATCACGTTTCAAACGAAGGCCACAAAGAGGTCCAAATATCCACTTTCGGATTCTGCAAAAAGAGTGTTTCAAAACTGCTCTATCAAGAGGAAACTTCAACTCTGTGAATTGAATGCAAATATCACAAAGTAGTTTCTGACAATGCTTCTGTCTAGTTTTTATGTGAAGATATTTCCTTTTCTACCGTAGGCCTCAAAGCGCTCTAAATATACACTTGCAAATTCCACAAAAAGAGTGTTTCAAAACTGCTCTAACAAAAGAAAGGTTAAACTCTGTGAGCTGAACGTACACACCACAAAGTAGTTTCTGAGAATCATTCTGTCTAGTTTTTCTATGAAGATATTGCCATTTCTACCATAGGCCTCAAACAGTGCTTAATATCCAATTGGAAATTCAACAAAAAGAGAGTTTCATAACTGCTCTATTGAAAGGAAGGTTGAACTCTGTGAGTTCAAAGCATACATCACAAAGGAGTTTCTGAGAATTCTTCTGTCTAGATTTATATGAAGAAATCAGGTTTCAAACGAAGGCCACAAAGAGGTCCAAATATCCACTTGCAGATTCTGCAAAAAGAGTGTTTCATTGTAGATTCTGGATATTAGCCCTTTGTCAGATGAGTAGGTTGCGAAAATTTTCTCCCATGTTGTAGGTTGCCTGTTCACTCTGATGGTAGTTTCTTTTGCTGTGCAGAAGCTCTTTCGTTTAATTAGATCCCATTTGTCAATTTTGTCTTTTGTTGCCATTGCTTTTGGTGTTTTAGACATGAAGTCCTTGCCCATGCCTATGTCCTGAATGGTAATGCCTAGGTTTTCTTCTAGGGTTTTTATGGTTTTAGGTCTAACGTTTAAATCTTTAATCCATCTTGAATTGATTTTTCTATGAGGTGTAAGGGAGGGATCCAGTTTCAGCTTCCTACATATGGCTAGCCAGTTTTCCCAGCACCATTTATTAAATAGGGAATCCTTTCCCCATTGCTTGTTTTTCTCAGGTTTGTCAAAGATCAGATAGTTGTAGTTATGCGGCGTTATTTCTGAGGGCTCTGTTCTGTTCCATTGATCTATATCTCTGTTTTGGTACCAGTACCATGCTGTTTTGGTTACTGTAGCCTTGTAGTATAGTTTGAAGTCAGGTAGTGTGATGCCTCCAGCTTTGTTCTTTTGGCTTAGGATTGACTTGGTGATGCGGGCTCTTTTTTGGTTCCATATGAACTTTAAAGTAGTTTTTTCCAATTCTGTGAAGAAAGTCATTGGTAGCTTGATGGGGATGGCATTGAATCTGTAAATTACCTTGGGCGGTATGGCCATTTTCACGATATTGATTCTTCCTACCCATGAGCATGGAATGTTCTTCCATTTATTTGTATCCTCTTTTATTTCCTTGAGCAGTGGTTTGTAGTTCTCCTTGAAGAGGTCCTTCACATCCCTTGTAAGTTGGATTCCTGGGTATTTTATTCTCTTTGAAGCAATTGTGAATGGGAGTTCACTCATGATTTGGCTCTCTGTTTGTCTGTTGTTGGTGTATAAGAATGCTTGTGATTTTTGTACATTGATTTTGTATCCTGAGACTTTGCTGAAGTTGCTTATCAGCTTAAGGAGATTTTGGGCTGAGACAATGGGGTTTTCCAGATATAGAATCATGTCATCTGCAAACAGGGACAATTTGACTTCCTCTTTTCCTAATTGAATACCCTTTATTTCCTTCTCCTGTCTAATTGCCCTGGCCAGAACTTCCAACACTATGTTGAATAGGAGTGGTGAGAGAGGGCATCCCTGTCTTGTGCCAGTTTTCAAAGGGAATGCTTCCAGTTTTTGCCCATTCAGTATGATATTGGCTGTGGGTTTGTCATAGATAGCTCTTATTATTTTGAAATACGTCCCATCAATACCTAATTTATTGAGAGTTTTTAGCATGAAGGTTTGTTGAATTTTGTCAAAGGCTTTTTCTGCATCATCTATTGAGATAATCATGTGGTTTTTCTCTTTGGCTCTGTTTATATGCTGGATTACATTTATGGATTTGTGTATATTGAACCAGCCTTGCATCCCAGGGATGAAGCCCACTTGATCATGGTGGATAAGCTTTTTGATGTGCTGCTGGATTCAGTTTGCCAGTATTTTATTGAGGATTTTTGCAAGAAAAAAACAAAAAACCCCAGCAAAAAGTGGGCGAAGGACATGAACAGACGCTTCTCAAAACAAGACATTTATGCAGCCAGAAAACACATGAAAAAATGCTCATCATCACTGGCCATCAGAGAAATGCAAATCAAAACCACTATGAAATATCACCTCACACCAGTTAGAATGACAATCATTAAAAAGTCAGGAAACAACAGGTGCTGGAGAGGATGTGGAGAAATAGGAACACTTTTACACTGTTGGTGGGACTGTAAACTAGTTCATCCATTGTGGAAGTCAGTGTGGCGATTCCTCAGGGATCTAGAACTAGAAATACCATTTGACCCAGCCATACCATTACTGGGTATATACACAAAGGACTATAAATCATGCTACTGTAAAGACACATGCACACGTATGTTTATTGCGGCATTATTCACAATAGCAAAGACTTGGAACCAACCGAAATGTCCAACAATGATAGACTGGATTAAGAAAATGTGGCACATATACACCATGGAATACTATGCAGCCATAAAAAATGATGAGTTCATGTCCTTTGTAGGGACATGGATGAAATTGGAAATCATCATTCTCAGTAAACTATCGCAAGAACAAAAAACCAAACACTGCATATTCTCACTCATAGGTGGGAATTGAACAATGATATCACATGGACACAGAAAGGGGAATATCACACTCTGGGGTCTGTGGTGGGGTGGGGGGAGGGGGGAGGGATAGCATTGGGAGATATACCTAATGCTAGATGACCAGTTAGTGGGTGCAGTGCACCAGCATGGCACATGTATACATATGTAACTAACCTGCACAATACGCACATGTACCCTAAAACTTAAAGTATAATAAAAAAAAAAAAGAGTGTTTCAAAACTGCTCTATGAAGAGGAATGTTCAACTCTGTGACTTGAATGCAAATATCACAAAGTAGTTTCTAACAATGCTTCTGTCTTGTTTTTATGTGAAGGTATTTCCTTTTCTACCGTAAGCCTCAAAGCGCTCTAAATATACACTTGCAAATTCCACAAAAAGCGTGTTTCAAAACTGCTCTATCAAAAGAAAGGTTAAACTCTGGAAGCTGAATGCACACATCACAAAGTAGTTTCTGAGAGTGATTCTGTTAATTTTTTCTATGAAGATATTTCCTTTTCTACACAGGCTTCAGACCGCTCTGTATATACACTTTGAAATTCTACAAAAAGAGCATTTCAAAACTGCTCTACCGAACGGAAGGTCCAACACTGTGACTTGAATACAGCCATCACAAAGAAGTTTCTGAGAATTCTTCTGTCAAGTTTCATATGAAGAAATCCCGTTTTCAACGAAGACCTCAAAAAAGTCCAAATATTCACTTGCAAATTCTCCAAAAAGATTGTTTCAAATCTGCTCTATCAAAAGAAAAGTTACACTCTTTGAGTTGAACACACACATCATATTGTACTTTCTGAGAAATATTCTGCCTAGTTTTTCTATGAATGTATTGCCTTTTCTACCTTAGGCCTCAAATGGCGCTGATTAACCACTTGGAAATTCTGCAATAAGAGAGTTTCAAAACTGCTCTATGAAAGGAAGGTTCAACTCTGTGAGTTGAAAGCACACGTCACAAAGAAGTTTCTGAGAACTC
Source organism: Homo sapiens (assembly GCF_000001405.40). NCBI lineage: Eukaryota > Metazoa > Chordata > Mammalia > Primates > Hominidae > Homo > Homo sapiens. The sequence goes on from NW_012132917.1 coordinate 17,489, forward strand.
TTCTGTCTAGTTTTAAATGAAGAAGTCACGTTTCAAACGAAGGCCACAAAGAGGTCCAAATATCCACCAGCAGATTCTATAAAAAGAGTGTTGCGAAACTGCTCTCTCAAGAGGAATGCTCAATTCTGTGTGTTGAATGCAAATATCACAAAATAGTTTCCGACAATGCTTCTGTCAAGTATCTATTTGAAAATATTTCCTTTTCTACCGTAGACTTCAAAGCAGTCTAAATGTACACTTGGATATTCCACAAAATAATGTTTCAAAACTGCTCTATTAAAAGAAACGTTAACATTTGTAAGGTTAATGCACACATCACAAAGTAATTTCTGAAAATGATTCTGTCCAGTTTTTCTATGAAGATATTTCCTTTTCTACCACAGCCTCAAACTGCTGTAAATATCCACCTGGAAATTCTAAAAAAAGAGTGTTTCAAAACTGCTCTATCGAAAGGAAGTTTTAACTCTGTGAGTTGAATGCACACATGACAAAGATGTTTCTGAGAATTCTTCTGTCCAGTTTTATTTGAAGGAATTCCATTTCCAACGCAGACCTCAACAAGTCCAAATATTAACTTGCAGATTCTACAAATAGTGTGTTTCAAAACTGCTCTATCAAAAGAAAGATTAAACTCTGTGAATTGAACGCACACATCACAAAGTAGTTTCAGAGAATCATTCTCTCTAGTTTTCCTATGAAGATATTGCCTTTTCTAAAATTGGCCTCTAACGGTGCTAAATATCCACTAGGAAATTATACAAAAATAGTGTTTCAGAACTGCTCCATACAAAGGAAAGTACAACTCGGTGAGTTGAAAGCACACATCACAAAGAATTTCTGAGAACTATTCTTTCTAGTTTTATATGCAGAAATAACTTTTCAAACGAAGGCCACAAAAAGGTCCAAATATCCACTTGCATATTCTACAAAAAAAGAGTTTCAAAACTGCTCTATGAAGAGCAATGTTCAACACTGTGAGTTGAATGCAAATATTGCGAATTAGTTTCTGACAATGCTTCTGTCTAATTTTTATGTGAAGTTATTTCCTTTTCTACCGTAGGCCTCAAAGCCCTCTGAATGTACACTTCCAAATATCACAAAAAGAGTGTTTCAAAACTGCTCTGTCAAAGGAATGGTTAAACATTGTAAGCTGAATGCACCCATCACAAAGTAGTTTCTGAGAATGATTCTGTCTAGTTTTTTAATGAAAATATTCCCTTTTCAATCATTGGCCTCAAACCACTCAAAATATCCACTTGGAAATTCTACAAAAAGATTATTTCAAAAGTGCTCTATCGAAAGGAAGTTTCGACTCTGTGTGTTGAATGCACACATCACAAAGAAGTTTCTGAGAATTCTTCTGACAAGTCTTATATGAAGAAATCCCATTTCCAAAGAAGGCCTCAAAAAAGTCCAAATATTCACTTGCAGATTCTACAAAAAGATTGTTTCAAAACTGCTCTATCAACAGAAAGGTTAAACCCTTTTGATTTGGACGCACACCTCACAAAGAAGTTTCTGAGAATTCTTCTGTCTAGTTTTATATGAAGAAATCACTTTTCAAAAGAAGGCCACAAGGAGGTCCCAAAATCCCCTTGTAGATTCTACAAAAAGAGTGTTTCAAAACTGCTCTATCAAGAGGAATGTTCAACTCTGTGAGTTGAATGCAAATATCACATAGTAGTTTCTGACAATGCTTCTGTCTAGTTTTTATGTGAAGATATTTCCTTTTCCACCGTAGGCCTCAAAGCACTCAAAATATACACTTGCAATTTCCACAAAAAGAGTGTTTCAAAACTGTTCTATGAAAAGAAAGGTTAAACTCTGTAAGCTGAATGCGCCCATCACAAAGTAGTTTCTGAGAATGATTCTGTCTAGATTTCAATGAAGATATTTCCTTTTCTACCATACGCCTCAAACCGCTCTAAATAATATCCACTTGGAAATTCTACAAAAACAGTACTTCAAAACTGCTCTATGGAAAGGAAGGTTCAACTCTGTGAGTTCAATGCGCACATCACAAAGAAGTGTCTGCGAATTCTTTTGTCAAGTTTTATATGAAGAAATCCCGTTTCCAACTAAGGCCGTAAAAAAGTCCAAATATTCCCTTGCAGATGCTACAAAAAGTGTGTTTCAAAACTGCTCTATCAAAAGAAAGGTTAAATTCTCTGAATTGAACGCAGACATCAAAAAGTAGTTTCTGAGAATCATTCTGTCCAATTTTTTTATGAAGATATTGCCTTCTCTACCATAGGCCTCAAACGGTGCCAAATATACACTGGGAAATCCTAAAAAAAAAGAGAGTGTGAAAACTGCTCCATCGAAAGGAAGTTTCAACCCTTTGAGTTGAAAGCACACATCACAAATATGTTCCTCAGAATTCTTCTGTCTATTTTTATATGAAGAAACCACGTTTCAAAAGTACGCCACAAGGTGGTACAAATATCCACTTGCAGATTCTACAAAAAGAGTGTTTAAAATCTGCTCCATGAAGAAGAATGTTCAACTCTGTGAGTTGAATGCTAATATCACAAAGTAGTTTCTGACAAAGATTCTGTCTAGTTTTTATGTAAAGATATTTCCTTTTCTATCGTAGGCCTCAAATCGCTCTAAATATACACTTGCAATTTCCACAAACAGAGTGTTCCAAAACTGCTCTAAAAAAGAAAGGTTCAACTCTGTGAGCTGAATGCACACATCACAAAGTAGTTTCTGAGAATGATTCTGACTAATTTTTCTTCGCAGATATATCCTTTTCTACTGTACGCCTCAAACGGCTCTAGATATCCACTTGGAAATTCTAAAAAAAGAGTATTTCAAAACTGCTCTATCGAAAGGAAGGTTCAACTCTGTGAGTTGAAAGCACACATCACAAAAAAGTTCCTCACAATTCTTCTGTCTAGTTTTATATGAAGAAATCACTTTTCAAAGGAAGGCCACAAACAGGTCCAAATATCCACTTGTATTTTCTACAAAAAGAGTGTTTCAAACTGCTCTATCAAGAGGAATGTTCAACTCTGTGAGTTGAATGCAAATATCACAAAGTAGTTTCTGACAATGCTTCTGTCTTGTTTTTATGTGAAGATATTACCTTTTCTACAGTAGGCCACAAAGCGCTCTAAATATACACTTGCAAATTCCACAAAAAGAGTGTTTCAAATCTGCTCTATGAAAAGAAAGGTTAAACTCTGTGAGATGAATGCACACATCACAAAGAAGTGTCTGAGAATTCTTCTGACAAGTCCTATATGAAGAAATGCCGTTTCCAATGATGGCCTCAAAAAAGTCCAATTATTCACCTGCAGATTGTACAAAAAGAGTGTTTTCAATACTGCTTCTATAAAGGAAAGGGTAAACTTTGTGCGTTTGAATGCACACATCACAAATAAGTTTCTGAGAATCATTCTCTCTTGTTTTTCTGTGAAGATATTGCCTTTTCTACCATAGGCCTCAAAAGGGGCTAAATATCCACTTGGATACCCCACTAAAAGAGAGTTTCATAACTGCTGTATCGAAAGGAAGTTTCAGCTCTGTGAGTTGAAAGCACACGTAACAAAGAAAGAAGTTTCTGTGAATTCTTCTGTCTTGTTTTACATGAAGAAATCACGTTTCAAATGAAGGCCACATAGAGGTCCAAATATCCACTTACAGATTCTACAAAAAGAGTGTTTCAGTATTCCTCTATCGAAAGCAAAGTTAAACTCTGTGAGTTGAATACACACATCACAAAGTAGTTTCTGAGAATCATTCTGTCTGGTTTTTCTATGAAGATATTGCCTTTTCTACCATAGGCCTCAAATGGCACTAAATATCCACTTGGAAATCCTACAAAAAGAGAGTTTCCAAACTGCTCTATCAAAAGAAAGGTTCAACTCTGAGAGTTGAAATCACACATCACAAAGAAGTTTCTGAGAATTCTTCTGTCCAGTTTTATATGATGAAATCACCTTTCAAAGGAAGGCCACAAAGAAGTCCAAATATCCACTTGCAGATTCTACAAAAATAGTGTTTCAAAACTGCTCTATCAGGAGGAAGGTTCAACTCTGTGAGTTGAATGCCAATATCACAAAGTAGTTTCTGACAATGCTTCTGTCTAGTTTTAATGTGAAGATATTTCCTTTTCTACAGTAGGCCTCAAAGCGCTCTAAATATACACTTGAAAATTCCACAAAAATAGTGTTACAAAACTACTCTACCACAGGAAAGGTTAAACTCTGTAAGCTGAATGCACACATAACTAATTAGTTTCTGAGAATGATTCTGTCTAGGTTTTGTATGAAGATATTTCCTTTTCTTCCATAGGCATCTATCCGCTCTAAATATCCACTTGGAAATCCTACAAAAAGAGTATTCCAAAACTGCTCTATCATAAGGACGGTTCAACTCTCTGGGTTGAACGCACACATGAAAAAGAAGTTTCTGAGAATTCTTCTGCCAAGTTTTATATGAAGAAATGCCGTTTCCAACGAACGCCTCATAAAAGTGTAAATATTCAATTGCAGATTCTGCAAAAAGAGTGTTTTAAAACTGCCGTATGAAAAGAAAGTTTAAATACTGTGAGTTGAACGCACACAGCACAAAGCAGTTTCTGAGAATCATTCTGTCTTGTTTTTATGTGATGATATTTCCTTTTCTACCGTAGGCCTCAAACGGCGCTAAATAGCCACTTGGAAATTCTACAAAAAGAGTATTTCAGAACCGTTCTATCGAAAGGAAGGTTCAACACTGTGAGTTGAAAGCACACATCACAAAGTAGATTCTGATAATTCTTCTGTCAAGTTTTATATGAAGAAACTCCATTTTCAAAAATGGCCTCTAAAAAATCCAAATATTCACTTGCAGATTCTACAAAAAGAGTGTTTAAAAACTGCTCTATCAAAAGAAAGGTTAAACTCTGTGAGTTGAATGCACACATCACAAAGTAGTTTCTGAGAATCTTTCTGTCTAGTTTTTCTATGAAGATACTGCCTTTTATTCCATCGGCCTCAAACGGCGCTAAATATCCACCTGGAAATTCTACAAAAAGAGAGTATCAAAACTGCTCTATCGAAAGAAATGTTCAACACTGTGAGTTGAATGCAGATATCACAAAGTAGTTTCTGACTATGCTTCTGTCTAGTTTTAATGGGAAGATATTTCCTTTTCTACCATAGGCCTCAAAGCGCTCTAAATATACACTTGCAAAGTCCACAAAAAGAGAGTTACAAAACTGATCTATCAAAAGAAAGGTTAAAGTCTGTAAGCTGCATGCACACATTAGAAAGTAGTTTCTGAGAATGATTCTGTCTAGGTTTTCTATGAAGATAATTCCTTCTCTACCACAGGCCCCAAACGGCTCTAAATATCCACTTGGAAATCCCACAAAAAGAGTATTTCAAAACTGCTCTATCAAAAGGAACGTTGACCTCTGTGAATTGAATGCACAGATCACAAAGAAGTTTCTGAGAGTTCTTCTCTCAAGTTTTCTGTGAAGAAATCCCGTTTCCAAAGAAGGCCTCCAAAAAGTACAAATATTCACTTCCAGATTCTACAAAAAGACTGTTTCAAAAAAGCTCTATCAAAAGAAAGTTTAAACTCTGTGAGTCGTAAGCACACATCACAAAGAAGTTTCTCAGAATCATTCTGTCTATTTTTTCTAACAAGATATTTCCTTTTCTAGCATAGGCCTCAAATGGAGCTAAATATCCACTTGGAAATACTACAAAAAGAGTTTCAAAACTGCTCTATCGAAAGAAAGGTTCAACTGTATGAGTTGAAAGCACACATCACAAAGAAGTTTCTGAGAGTTCTTCTGTCTAGTTTTGTATGAAGAAATCAGGTTTGAAATGAAGGCCACAAAGAGGTTCAAATATCCACTTGCAGATTCTACAAAAAGAGTGTTTCAAAACTGCTCTATCAAGAGAAATCTTCAACTCTGTGGGTTGAATGCAAATATCCCAAAGTAGTTTCTGACAATGCTTCTGTCTGGTTATTACGTGAAGATATATCCTTTTCTACCATAGGCCTCAAAGGGCTCTAAATAAACACTTCCAAAATCCACAAAAAGAGTGTTTCAAAACTGCTCTATCAATCAAAAGAAAGGTTAAACTCTGTAAGCTGAATGCACACATCACAAAGTAGTTTCTGAGAATGATTCTGTCTCGTTTTCCTATGAAGATATTTCCTATGAAGATATTTCCTTTCCTATCACAAGCCTCAAAGCGCTCTAAATATCTACTTGGAAATTCTACAGAAAGAGTATTTCAAAACTTCTCTCTCGAAGGGAAGGTTCAACTCTGTGAGTTGAATGCCCACATCACAAAGTAGTCTCTGAGAATTCTTCTGTTAAGTTTTATTTGAAGAAATCCCTTTACCAACGAACGCCACAAAAATTCCAAATATTCACTTGCAGATTCTCCAAAAAGAGTGTTTCAAAACTATTCTATAAAAAGAAAGTTTAACACTGTGAGATGAATGCACACATCTTAAAGTAGTTTCTGACAATCATTCTGTCTAGTTTTTCTATGAAGATATTGCCTTTTCTACCATAGGCCTCAAACGGCACTATATATCCACTTGGAAATTGTACAAAAAGAGCGTTTACAAACTGCTCTACCGAAAGGAAGGTTCAACACTGTGAGTTGAAAGCACACATCACAAAGATGTTTCTGAGAATTCTTCTGTTTAGTTTTATATGAAGAAACCACGTTTCAAACGAAGGTCACAAAGAGGTCCAAATATGCACGTGCAGATTCTACAAAAATAGTGTTTCAAAACTGCTTTATCAAGAGGAACGTTCAACTCTGTGAGTTCAATGCAAATGTCACAAAGAAGTTTCTGACAATGTTTCTGTCTAGGTTTTAGGTGAAGATATTTCCTTTTCTAACGTAGGCTGCCGAGCACTCTAAATATACACTTGCAAAATTCCACAAAAAGAGTGTTTCAAAACTGCACAATCAAAAGAAAGGTTAAACACAGTAAGCTGAATGCACACGGGACAAAGTAGTTTCTGAGAAGGATTCTGTCTTGTTTTTCTACGAAGATATGTCCTTCTCCAAAATAGGCCGCAAACCGCTCTAAATATTCACTTGGAATTTCTACAAAAAGAGTATTTCAAAACTGCTCTATCGAAAGGAAGGTTCAAACCTGTGAGTTGAATGCACATATCACAAAGAAGGTTCTGAGAATTCTTCTGTCAAGTTTTATGTGAAGAAACCCCGTTTCCAACGAAGGCCTCTTAAAAGTCCAAATATTCACTTGCAGATACTACAAAAACACTGTTTCAAAAGTGCTCTATCAAAAGAAAGTTTAAACTGTTTGAGTTGAACGCACACTTCACAAAGTAGTTTCTGAGAATCGTTATGTCAAGTTTTCCTAAGAAGATATTACCTTTTCAACCATAGGCCTCAAACAGCCCTAAATATCCACTTGGACATTCGACAGAAAGAGAGTTTCAAAACTCCTCTTTCGAAAGGCATGTTCCGTGAGTTGAACACAAACATCACAAGGTAGTTTCCGATAATCATTCTGTCTAATTTTTCTATGATGATAATGCCTTTTCTACCATTGGCTTCAAACGGCGCTAAATATCCACTTGGAAATTCTACAAAAAGAGTGTTTCAAAATTGCTCTATGAAGAGGAATGTCCAGCTCTGTAAGTTGAATGCAAATATCACAAATTAGTTTCTGACAATGCTTCTTTCTGGTTTTTATGTGAAGATATTTCCTTTTCTACCACAGGCCTCAAAGCGCTCTAAATATACACTTGCAAATTCCACAGAAAGAGTGTTTGAAAACTGCTGTATCAAAAGAAAGTTAAACTCTGTAAGCCGAATGCAGACATCACAAAGCAGTTTCTGAGAATGATTCTGTCTAATTTTTCTATGAAGATATTTCCTTTTCAACCACAAGCCTGAAACCGCTCTAAATATGCATTTGAAATTCTACAAAAAGAGTATATCAAAACTGCTCTATGGAAAGGAAGGTTAAACTCTGTGAGATGAATGCACTCATCACAAAGAAGTTTCTGAGAATTCTTTGGCAAAGTTTTATATGACAAAATCCCTTTTCCAAAGAAGGCCACAAAAATGTCCAAATATTCACTTGCAGATCCTCCAAAAAGTGTGTTTCAAAACTGCCCTATCAAAAGAAAGTTTGAACTCAGTGAGTTGAATGCACACATCACAAAGCAGTTTCTGAGAATCATTCTGTCTAGTTCTTCTATGAAGATATTGCCTTTTCTACCATAGACCTCAAACGGCGCTAAATATCCACTTGGAAATTCTACAAAAAGAGAGCTTCAAAACTGCTTTATCGAAAGGAATGTTAAAATATGTGAGTTGAAAGCACACATCACAAAGAAGTTTCTGAGAATTCTTCTGTCTAGTTTTATATGAAGAAATCACGTTTCAAACGAAGGCCCCAAAGAGGTCCAAATATACACCTGCAGATATTACAAAAAGAGTGTTTCAAAACTGCTCTATCATAAGAAAGGTTAAACTCTGTAAGCTTAATGCAAACATCACAAAGTAGTTTCTGAGAATGATTCTGTCTAGTTTTTCTATGAAGATATTTAATTTTCTGCCATAGGCCTCAAACCGCTCTAAATATACACTTGGAAATTCTACAAAAAGAGTATTTTAAAACTGCTCTATCGAAAGGAAGTTTTAACTCTGTGAGTTCAATGCACACATCAGAAAGAACTTTCTGAGAATTCTTCTGTCAAGTTTTAAAAGAAGAAAACCCGTTTCCAACAAAGGCCTCAAATATGTAAAAATATTAATTGGCACATTCAACAAAAAAGAGTGTTTCAAAACTGCTCCATCAAGAGGAACGTTCAACTCTGTGAGTTGAATGCAAATATCACAAAGTAGATTCTGACAATGCTTCTGTCAAGTTTTTATATGAAGATATTTCCTTTTCTACCATAGGATTCAAAGCGCTCTAAACATCCACTTGGAAATTCTACAAAAAGAGTGTTTCAAATCTGCTCTATCAAAAGGAAGGTTGCACTCTGAGAGTTGAATCCACACATCCCAAAGAATTTTCTGAGAATTCTTCTGTCTAGTTTTATACGAAGAAATCCTGTTTCCACTGAAGGCCTCAAAGAGTTCCAAACATACACTTGCAGAAACTACAAAAAGAGTGTTTCAAAACTGCTCTATCAAGAGGAATGTTCAACTCCGCGAGGTGAATGCAAACATCACAAAGCAGTTTCTGAGAATGCTTCTGTCTAGTTTTTATGTGAAGATATTTCCTTTTCTACCGTAGGCCTCGAAGTGATCTAAATATCCACTTGCAAACACTACAAAAGGGTGTTACAAAACTGCACTATCAAATGAAGGTTCACCTCTGTGAGTTGAGTACAGACATCACAAAGAATTTTCTGAGAATACTTCTGTCCACTTTTTATGTGCAGATATTCCCGTTTCCAAAGAAAACTTCAAAGTGCTCCAAATATCCAGATGCACAGTTTACAAACAGAGTGTTTCAAAACTGCTCCATCAAAAGAAAGGTTAAACTCTGTGATGTGAACACACACATCACAAAGTAGTTTCTAGGAGTTATTCTGTCTAGATTTATATGAAGATAATTTTTTCTACCATATGGTTCAAAGCGCTCTAAATATCCACTTGGAAACTCTGCAAAAAGAGTGTTTTAAATCTGTTCTATTAAAGGAAGATTCAACACTGTGAGTTGAATGCACACATCACAAAGAAGTTTCTGAGAATTCTTGTGTCTAGTTTTATGTGAAGAAATCCTGTTTCCAGCGAAGGCCTCAAAGAAGTCCAAATATCAACTTGCAGATTCTACAAAAAGAGTATTTCAAAACTGCTCTATCAAGAGTAATGTTCAATTCAGTGAGTTGAAAGCAAGTATCACAATGTAGTTTCTGAGAATGCTTCTGTGTAGTTTTTCTACGAAGATATTTCCTTTTCTACCATAGGCCTCAAAGAGCTCAAAACATCCACTAGCAAACCCTACAAAAAGTGTGTTTCAAATCTGCTCTATCAAAAGGAAGATTCAACTCTGTGAGTTGAGTACAGACATCACAAAGAAAATTCTGAGAATACTTCTATCTACTATTTATGTGACGATATTCCCATTTCCAAAGAACACTTCAAACAGCTCCAAGTATCCAGATGCAGACTTTACAAAGAGAGTGTTTCAAAACTGCTCTATCTTTAGTTTAATTAGATCCCATTTGTCAATTTTGTCTTTTGTTGCCATTACTTTTGGTGTTTTAGACATGAAGTCCTTGTCCTTGCCTATATCCTGAATGGTAATGCCTAGGTTTTCTTCTAGGGTTTTTATGGTTTTAGGTCTAACGTTTAAGTCTTTAATCCGTCTTGAATTGATTTTTGTATAAGGTGTAAGGAACGGATCCAGTTTCAGCTTTCTACATATGGCTAGCCAGTTTTCCCAGCACCATTTATTAAATAGGGAATCCTTTCCCCATTGCTTGTTTTTCTCAGGTTTGTCAAAGATCAGATAGTTGTAGATATGTGGCATTATTTCTGAGGGCTCTGTTCTGTTCCATTGATCTATATCTCTGTTTTGGTACCAGTACCATGCTGTTTTGGTTACTGCAGCCTTTTAGTATAGTTTGAAGTCAGGTAGTGTGATGCCTCCAGCTTTGTTCTTTTGGCTTAGGATTGAGTTGGTGATGCGGGCTCTTTTGCACAGCAAAAGAAACTACCATCAGAGTGAACAGGCAACCTACAAAATGGGAGAAAATTTTCGCAACATACTCATCTGACAAAAGGTTAATATCAAGAATCTACACTGAACTCAAACAAATGTACAAGAAAAAAAACAAACAACCTCGTCAAAAGGTGGGTGAAGGACATGAACAGACACTTCTCAAAAGAAGACATTCATGCAGCCGAAAAACACAGGAAAAAATGCTCACCATCACTGGCCATCAGAGAAATGTAAATCAAAACCACAATGAGATACCATCTCACACCAGTTAGAATGGCAATCATTAAAAAGTCAGGAAACAACAGATGCTGGAGAGGATGTGGAGAAATAGGAACATGTTTACACTGTTGGTGGGACTGTAAACTAGTTCAACCATTGTGGAAGTCAGTGTGGCGATTCCTCAGGGATTTAGAACTAGAAATACCATTTGACTCAGCCATCCCATTACTGGGTATATACCCAAAGGACTATAAATCATGCTGCTATAAAGACACATGCACACGTATGTTTATTGTGGCATTATTCACAAGAGCAAAGACTTGGAACCAACCCAAATGTCCAACAATGATATACTGGATTAAGAAAATGTGGCACATGTACACCCTGGAATACTAAGCAGCCACAAAAAATGATTCATTCATGTCCTTTGTAGGGACATGGATGAAATTGGAAACCATCATTCTCAGTAAACTATCACAAGAACAAAAAACCAAACACCACATATTCTCACTCATAGGTGGGAATTGAACAATGAGATCACATGGACACAGGAAGGGGAACTTCACACTCTGGGGACTGTTGTGGGGTGGGGCAAGGGGGGAGGGATAGCATTGGGAGATATACCTAATGCTAGATGATGAGCTAGTGAGTGCAGCACACCAGCATGACACATGTATAGATATGTAACTAACATGCACAATGTGCACATGTACCTTAAAACTTAAAGTATAATAATAAAAAATGCATAAATAAATAAATATAAAACTGTTCTATCAAAAGAAAGGTTAAACTCTGTGAGTTGAACGCTCACATCACAAAGTAGTTACTAGGAAAGATTCTGTCCAGTTTCTATGAAGATATAACCTTTTCAACCATAGGTTTCAAAGCACTCTAAATATCCACTTGGAAATACTGCAAAAACAGTGTTTCAAATCTGATCTATCAAAAGAAGGATTAACTCTGTGAGTTGAACGCACACTTCACAAAGAAGTTTCTGAGAATTCTTCTGTCTAGTTTTAAATGAAGAAATCCCATTTCCAATGAAGGCCTCAAAGAGGTTCAAATATCCACCGTCAGATTCTACAAAAAGAGTGTTTCAAAACTGCTCTATCAAGAGGAAAGTTCAACTCCGTGAGTTGAATGCAAACATCACAAAGTAGTTTCTGAGAATGCTTCTGTCTAGTTTTTATATGAAGATATATTCTTTCCTACAATAGGCCTCAAAGCACTCTAAATATCCACTTGCAAACTCTACAAAAAGAGTGTTTCAAAACTGCTCTATCTGAGAATGCTTCTGTGTACTTTTTATGTGAAGATATATCGTTTTCTACCATAGGCCTCAAAGTGCTCTAAATACACACTTGCAAATTCAACAAAAAGAGTGTTTCAAAACTGCTCTATCAAAAGAAAGTTTATACTCAGTGAGTTGAATGCACACATCATAAAGTACTTTCTGATTATGATTATGTCAAGTGCTTATATGATGATATTACCTTTTATACTATAGGCCTAAAAGCCTATAATATAATATAGGCCTAAAATATAGGCCTAAAAGCCCTAAATATCCACTTGGATATTCTACAAAAAGAGTGTTTCAAAACTGCTCTATTGAAAGGAACGTTCAACTCTGTGAGTTGAATGCACACATCACAAAGAAGCTTCTGAGAATTCTTCTGTCTAGTTTTATATGAAGAAATCACGTTTCCAACGAAGACCACAAAGAGGTCCAAATATCCAATTTCAGATTCTACAAAAAGAGTGTTACAAACTGCTCTATCAAAAGGAATGTTCAACTCTGTGTGTTGAAGGCAAACATCACAAAGTAGTTTCTGAGAATGCTTCTGTCTAGTTTTTCTGTGAAGATATTTCCTTTTCTACCATAGGCCCCAAAGCGCTCTAAATATCCACTTGCAAACTCTACAAAAAGAGTGTTTCAAAACTTCTCTATCAAAAGGAGGTTTCACTTCTGTGAGTTGAGTACAGACATAACAAAGAAGTTTCTGAGAATACTTCTGTCTACTTTTTATGTGAAGATATTCCCGTTTCCAAAGAAACCCTCAAAGCGCTCCAAATATCCAGATGCAGAGATTACAAACAGGGTGTTTCAAAACTGCTCTATCAAAAGAAAGGTTAAACTCTTTGAGTTGAATGCACACATCACAAAGTAGTTACTGGGAATGATTATTTCTAGTATTTATATGAAGATATTTCCTTTTCTACCATAGGATTCAAAGCGCTCTAAATATCCACGTGGAAATTCAACAAAAAGAGTGTTTCAAATCTGCTCCATCAAAAGAAAGGTTCAAATCTGTGAGTTGAATGCATACATCACAAAGTAGTTTCTGGGAATGATTCTGTCTAGTTTTTATATGAAGGTATTTCATTTTCTACCATAGGATTTAAAGCCCTCTAAATATTCACTTGGAAATTCTACAAAAAGAGTGTCTGAAATCTGCTCTATCAAAAGGAAGTTTCAACACTGTGAGTTGAATGCAAACATCACAGAGAAGTTTCTGAGAAGTCCTCTGTCTAATTTATATGAAGAAATCCCTTTTCCAAGGAAGGCCTCAAAGAGATCCAAATATACACTTGCAAATCCCACTAAAAGAGTGTTTCAAGAATGCTCAATAAAGAGGAATGTTCAAATTCGTGAGTTGAATGCAAACATCGCAATGTAGTTTCTGAGAATGCTTCTGTCTAGTTTTTATGTGAAGATATTTCCTTTTCCACAATAGGCGTCATATCGCTCTAAATATCCTCTTGCAAACTCTACAAAGAATGTTTCAAAACTGCTCTGTCAAAAGGAATGTTCACCTTTGTGAGTTGAATACAGACATCGCAAAATGTTTCTAAGAGTACATCTGTCTACTTTTTATGTGAAGATATCCCCGTTTCCAAAGAAAACCTCAATGCGCTCCAAATATCCAGTTCCAGACTTTAAAAACAGAGTGTTTCCAAACTGCTCTGTCAAAAGAAAGGTTAAACTCTGTAAGTTGAACGCACACATCACAAATTAGTTTCTGGGAATGATTCTCTCTAGTTTTTATATGAAGATATTTCCTTTTCTCCCTTAGGATTCAAGGCGCTCTAAATATCCACTTGGAAATACTACAAAAAGAGAGTTTCAAATCTGATCTATGAAAAAGGAGGTTCAACTATGTGAGTTGAATGCACACATCAAAAAGATGTTTCGGGGAATTCTTCTGACTAGTTTTTATATGAAGGTATTTCCTTTTCTAATATAGGATTCAAAGCGTTCTAAATATCCACTTTGAAATTCTACAAAAAGAGTGTTTCAAATATGCTCTATCAAAGGAAGGTTCAAATATGTGAGTTGAATGTACACATCAAAAAGAAGTTTCTGAGAATTCTTCAGACTATTTTTATATGAAGAAAATCCGATTCCAAAGAAGGCCTCAATGAGGTCCAAGTATCCTCCTTCAGATTCTTCAAAAAGAGTGTTTCAAAACTGCTCTATCAAGAGGAATGTTCAACTCTGTGAGTTGAATGCAAACAACACAAAGTAGTTTCTGACAATGCTTCTCTGTAGTATTTATGTGAAGATATTTCTTTTCTACCATAGTTCTCAAAGCACTCTAAATTCACACTTGCAAATTCTACAAAAAGTCTGTTTCAAAACTGCTCTATCAAAAGAAAATTTAAACTCAGTGTGTTGAATACACACATCACAAAGTAGTTTCTGAGGATGATTCTGTCTGGTTTTTATATTAAAGTATATCGTTTTCTACCATAGGCCTCTAAGCACCCTAAATATCCACTTGGAAATTCTACAAAAAGAGTGTTTCAAAACTACTCTATTGAAAGGTCGTTCAACTCCGTGAGTTGAATGCACACATCACAAAGAAGCTTCTGAGAATTCTTCTCTCTGTTTTTTTTTAAGAAGAAATACCAGGTTCAAACGAAGGCCTCAAAGAGGTCCAAATAACCACTTGCAGATTCTACAAAAAGAGTGTTACAAAACTGCTCTATCAAAAGGAATGTTCAACTCTGTGAGTTGAATGCAAACATCAAAAAGTGGTTTCTGAGAATGCTTCTGTCTAGTTTTTATGTGAAGATATTTCCTTTTCTACCATAGGCCTCAAAGCGCTCTCAATATCCACTTGCAAATTCTCAAAAAGAGTGTTTCAAAACTGCTCTACCAAAAGTAAAGTTCACCGCTGTGAGTTGAGTACAGACATCACAAAGAAGTTTCTGAGAATACTTCTGTGTACTTCTTATGTGAAGATATACCCATTTCCAAAGAAAACCTCAAAGCGCTCCAATTATCCAGATGCAGACTTTACAGAGTGTTTCAAAACTGCTCTATCAAAAGAAAGTTTAAACTCCGTGATTTGAACGAACACATCACAAAGTAGTTTCTGGGAATGATTCTGTCCACTTTTTATATGAAGATATTTCCTTTTCTACCATGCGATTCAAACCTCTCTAAATATCCACTTAGAAATAATTCAAAAAGTGTTTCGAAACTGCTCTATCAAAAGGAAAGTTTAACTCGGTGAGTTGAATGCACACATCACAAAGAATTTCCTCAGAATTCTTCTGTCTAGTTTTATATGAAGAAATCCCGTTCCAATGAATGCCTCAAAGAGGTCCAAATATCCACTTCCAGATTCTCCAAAAAGGGTGTTTCAAAACTGCTTTATAAAGAGGAGTGTTCAACTCTGTGAGTTGAATGCAAACATCACAAAGCAGTTTCTGAGAATGCTTCTATCTAGTATTTATGAGAAGATATTTCTTTTTCTACCATAGGTCTCAAAGCGCTCTAAACACACATTTGCAAATTCTACAAAAGAGCTCTATCAAAAGAAAGGTTAAACTCTGTAAGGTGAATGCACACATGACAAAATAGTTTCTGAGAATGATTCTGTCTAGTTTTTCTATGAAGAGATTTCCTTTTCTACGATAGGCCTCAAACCGCTCTAAATCTCCACTTGGAAATTCTACATAAAGAGTATTTCAAAACTGCTCTACCGATAGGAAGGTTCAACTCTGTGAGATGAATGCAGACACCACAAAGTAATTTCCGAGAATTCTACTGTCTTGTTTATATGAAGAAATACCTTTTCCAACGAAGGCCTCAAAGAGGTCCAAATATCCACTTGCAGATAGTACAAAAATTGTGTTTAAAAACTGCTGTATCAAGAGGAATGCTCACCTCTGTGAGTTGAATGCAAACAATACAAAGGAGTTTCTGAGAATGCTTCTGTCTAGTTTTTCTGTGAAGATATTTCCTTTTCTACCGTAGGTCTCGCAGCACTCTAAATATACACTTGCAAATTCCACAAAAACAGTGTTTCAAAACTGCTCTATCAAAAGAGAGGCTAAACTATGTAAACTGAATGCACACATCACAAAATAGTTTCTGATAATGGTTCTGTCTAGTTTTTCTATGAAGATATTTCCTTTTCTACAACAGGCCTCAAACCGCTCTAAATATCCACTTGGAAATTCTGCAAAAAGTGTATTTCAAAACTGCTCTATTGAAAGGAAGGTTCAATTCTGGGACTTGAATGCACACATCACATAGAAGTTTCTGAGAATTCTTCTGTCAACTTTTATATGAAGAAATCCCGTTTCCAACATAGGCCTCAAAAAAGTCCAAATATTCACTTGCGGATTCTAAAAAAAGAGTGTTTCAAAACTGCTCTCTCAAAAGAAAGGTTAAACTCTGTAAGCTGAATGCACACATCACAAAGTAGTTTCTGAGAATAATTCTGTCTAGTTTTTCTATGAACATATTTCCTATTCTACCTTACGCCTGAAACCGCTCTAAGTATCCACTTTGAATTTCTACAAAAAGAGAGTGTTAAAACTGCTCTATCGAAAGGAAGTTTCACCTCTGGGAGTTAAAAGCACACTTCAAAAAATTTCTGAGAAATCTTCTGTGAAGTTTTATATGAAGAAATCCCGTTTCCAACGAAGGCCTCAAAGAAGCCCAAATATTCACTTGCAGATTCTACAAAAAGAGTGTTTCAAAAGTGCTCTATCAAAACAAAGGTCAAAATCTGCGAGTTGAACGCACACTTCGCAAAGTAGTTTCTGAGAATCATTCTACCTAGTTTTTCTATGAAGATATTTCCTTTTGTACCATATGCCTCAAATGGCGCTAAATATCCACTTGGAAATTCTACAAAAAGAGTGTTTCAAAACTACTCTATGGAAAGGAAGATTCAACTGTGTGAGTTGAAAGCACACATCACAAAGAAGTTTCTGAGAATTCTTCTGTCTAGTTTTATATGAAGAAATCACGTTTCAAACGAAGGCCACAAAGAGGTCCAAATATCCACTTGCAGATTTTTCATAAAGAGTGTTTCAAAACTGCTCTATCAAAAGAATGGTTAGACTCTGTAATCTGAATGCACACATCACAAAGTAGTTTCTGAGAATCATTCTGTCTAATTTTTCTATGAAGATATTGTCTTTAATACCTAGGGCCTCAAAGGGCACAAAATTTCCACTTGGAAAATCTACAAAAAGAGTATTTCAAAACTGCTCTATCGAAAGGATGGTTCAACACCGTGAGTTGAATGCACACATCACAAAGAAGTTTCTGAGAATTCTTCTGCCACGTTTTATACGAAGAAATCAAGTTTCAAACGAAGGCCACAAAGAAGTCCAAATATCCAGTTGCAGATTCTACAACAAGAGTGTTTCAAAACTGCTCTATCAAGACGAATGTTCAACTCAGTGAGTTGAATGCAAATATCAGAAAGCAGTTTCTGAGAATGATTCTGTCTAGTTTTCTATGAAGATATTTCCCTTTCCACAATAGGCCTCAAACCGTTCTAATTATCCACTTGGAAATTCTACAAAAAGAGTATTTCAAAACTGCTCTATCGAAAGGAATGTTCAACTCTGTGAGTAGAATGCACACATCACAAAGGAGTTTCTGACAATGCTTCTATCTGGTTTTTATGTGAAGATATTTACTTTTCTACCATAGGCCTCAAAGCGCTCTAAATATACACTTGCAAATTCCACAAAAGGAGTGTTTCAAAACTGCTCTATCGAAAGGAAGGTTCAACTCTTTGAGTTGAATGCACACATCACAAAGGAGTTTCTGAGAATTCTTCTCTCACGTTTCATATGAAGAAATCCCATTTCCAACGAAGTCCCCCAAAAGTCCAAATATTCACTTGCAGAGACAACAAAAACTGTGTTTCTTAACTGCTCTATCAAAAGAAAAGTTAAACTCTGTTAGTTGAACGCACACATCACAAAGTAGTTTCTGAGAATCATTACGTCTAGGTTTTCTATGAAGATATTGCCTTTTCTACCATAGGCCTCAAAAGACGCTAAATATCCACATGGAGATTCAGCAATAAGAGAATTTCTAACACTGTTCTACCGGAAGGATAGTTCAACTCTGTGAGTTGAATGCAGAGATCACAAAGAAGATTCTGAGAGTTCTGTCAGGTTTTTTATGAAGAAATCCCGTTTCCAAAGAAGGCCTCAAAAAAGTCCAAATATTCACTTGCAGATTGTACAAAAAGATTCTTTCAAAACTGCTCTATCAAGAGGAATGTTCAACTCTGTGAGTTGAATGCAAATATCACAAAGTAGTTTATGACAATGTTTCTCTCTAGTTTTTATGTGAACATATTTCCTTTTCTACCATAGGCCTCAAAGCATTCTAATAATACACTTTCAAATTCCACAAAAAGAGTGTTTCAAAACTGCTCTATCAAAAGAAAGGTGAAACTCTGTAAGCTGAATGCACACATCACAAAGTAGTTTCTGAGAATGATTCTGTCTAGTTCTTCTATGAAGATATTTCCTTTTCTACAACTGGCCTCAAACTGCTCTAAATATCCACTTGGAAATTCTACAAAAAGAGTATTTCAAAACTGCTCTATCCAAAGGAATGTTCAACTCTGTGAGTTCAATGCAAACATCACAAAGAAGATTCTGAGAGTTCTTCTGTCAGGTTTTATATGAAGAAATCCTGTTTCCAACGAAGCCCTAAAAAAATTCCAAATATCCAATTGCAGATTCTACAAAAAGAGTGTTTCCGATCTGATCTATCAAAAGAAAGGTTAAACTCTGTGAGTTGAATGCCCACATCACAAAGTAGTTTCTGAGAATCATTCTGTCTAGTTTTTCTATGAAGATATTGCCTTTTCTAACCATAAGCCTCAAACGGCGCTAAATATCCACTTGGAAATTCTAGAAAAGGAGAGTTTCAAAACTGCTCTATCAAAATGAAACTTCAACTCCGTGAGTTCAAAGCACACATCTCAAAGAAGTTTCTGAGAATTCTTCTGTCTAGTTTTATATGAAGAAATCTCTTTTCAAACGAAGGAAACAAAGAGGTCCAAAAATAAACTTGCAGATTCTACAAAAAGAGTGTTTGCAAACTGCTCTATGAAGAGTAATGTTCAACTCTGTGAATTCAATGCAAATATCACAAAGTAGTTTATGACAATTCTTCTGTCCAGTTTATATGTGAAGATATTTCCTTTTCTACCGTAGGCCTCAAAGCGCTGTAAATATACACTTACAAATTGCACAAAAAGTGTGTTTCAAAACTGCTCTGTCAAAAGAAAGGTTAAACTCTGTAAGCTGAATGCACACATCACAAAGTAGTTTCTGGGAATGATTCTGATTAGTTTTTCTATGAAGATAGATATTTCCTTTTCTACCAAAGGGCTCAAATCCCTGTAAATATATACTTGGAAATTCTACAAAAAGAGGATTTCAAAACTGCTCTATCGAAATGAAGGTTCAACTCTGTGAGTTGAATACACACAACACAAAGAAGTTTCTGAGAATTTTTCTGTCACGTTTTATATGAAGAAATCACGTTTCAAACGAAGACCACAAGGAGTTCCAAATATCCACTTGCGGATTCTGCAAAGAGAGTGTTTCAAAACTGCTCTATCAAGAAGAATGTACAACTCTGTGAGTTGAATGCATATATCACAAAATAGTTTCTGACAAACTTTCTGTCTAGTTTTTATGTGAAGATATTTCCTTTTCTACCATAGGTCTCAAAAAGCTTTAAATATACACTTGCAAATACCACAAAAGACTGTTTCAAAACTGCTCTATCAAAAGAAAGGTTAAACTTTGTAAGCTGAACGAACACTTCACAAAGCAGTTTCTGAGAATCATTCTGTCTACTTTTTCTATGACGATATTGCCTTTTCTACCATTAGCCTGAAACAGCGCTAAATATCCAGTTGGAAATTCTACAAAAAGAGACTTTCAAAACTCCTTCTATTGTAAGGAAGTTTCAATTCTGTGAGTTGAAATCACACATAACAAAGAAGTTTCTGAGAATTCTTCTGTCTAGTTTTATATGGAGAAATCACCTTTCAAAAGAATGCCACAAAGAGGTGTAAGTATCCACTTGCAGATTCCACAAAAAGAGTGTTTAAAAACTGCTCTATCAAGTGGAATGTTCAACTCGGTGAGTTGAATGCAAATATCAAAAAGTAGTTTCTGACAATGCATCTGTATAGTTTTCATGTGAAGATATTTAATTTTGTACCGCAGTTCTCAAAGCGCTTTAAATAAACTCTTGCAAATTCCCCAAAAAGAGTGTTTCACAACTGCTCTATCAAAAGAAAGCTTAAACCCTGTAAGCTGAATGCAAACATCACAATGTGGTTTCTGAGAATCATTCTGTCTAGTTTTTCTATGAAGATATTTCCATATCTACCATAGGCCTCTAACCGCTCTAAGTCTCCACTTGGAAATTCTACAAAAAGAGTATTTCAAAACTGCTCTATCAAAAGATAGGTTGAACTCTGTGAATTGAATGCACACATCGCAAAGAAGTTTCTGAGAATTCTTCTGTCAATTTTAATATGAAGAAATCCCATTTCCAACGTAGTTCTCAATAACGTCCAAATATTCACTTGCAGATTCTACAAAAAGAGTGTTTCAAAACTCCTCTATCAAAAGAAAGGTTAAACTCTGTGAGTTGAACGCTCACATCAAAAAGTAGTTTCTGAGAATCTTTCTGTCTAGTTTTTCTATGAAGATATTCCCTTTTCTACCTTAGGCCTCAAAGGGCGCTAAATATCCACTTGGAAATTCTACAAAAAGAGAGTTTTAAAACTGCTCTATAGAAAGGAAGGTTCAACTCTATGAGTTCAATCCACACATCACAAAGAAGTTTCTGAGAATTCTTCTGTCTAGTTGATATGAAGAAATCTCGTTTAAAACGAAGGCCTCAAACAGGTTCAAATATCCAATTGCAGACTCTACAAAAAGAGGGTTTCAAAACTGCTCTATCAAGAGCAATGTTCAACTCTGTGGGTTGAATGCAAATATCACAATGTAGTTTCTGACAATCCTTCTGTCTAGTTTTTATGTGAAGATATTTCCTTTTCGACAATAGGCCTCAAAGCACTCTAAATATACACTTGCAAATTCCACAAAAGTAGTGTTTCAAAACTGCTCTATCAAAAGAAAGTTCAAACTCTGTGAGTTGAACGCACACATCACAAAATAGTTTCTGAAAATCATTGTGTCTCATTTTTCTATGAAGATATTGCCTTTTCTTCCATAGGCCACAAACCGTGCTAAATATCCACTTGGAAACACTACAAAAAGAGAGTTCAAATTCCACAACAAGAGTGTTACAAATCTGTTCTATCAAAACAAAAGTTAAACTCTGTAAGCTGAATGCACACATCAAAAAGTAGTTTCTGAGAATGGTTCTGTCTAGTTTTCCTATGAAGATATTATCTTTTCTACCACAGGCCTCAAACCGCTCTAAATATCCACGTGGAAATCCTACAAAAATAATATTTCAAAACTGCTCTATTGAAAGGAAGGTTCAACAATGTGAGTTGAATGCACACATCACAAAGAAGATGCTGAGATTTCTTTTGTCAAGATTTATATGAAGAAAACATGTTTCCAACGAAGGCCTCAAGAAAGTCCAAATATTCACTTGCAGAACCTACAGAAAGAGTGTTTCAAAACTGCTCTATCAAACGAAATGTTAAACTCTGTGAGTTGAACGCACACGTCACAAAGTAGTTTCTCAGAATCATTCTCTCTATTTTTTCTATGAAGATATTTCCTTTTCTACCACAGGCCTCAAGCCACTCTAAATATACACTTGAAAATTCTACAAAAAGACTATTTCAAAAGGGGTCTATCAAAAGAAAGGTTAAACCCTGTGGGTTAAACGCACACATCACAAAGTAATTTCTGAGAATCTTTCTGCCTATTTTTTCTTTGAAAATATTGCCTTTTCTACCATAGGACTGAAACAGGGCTAAATATCCACTTGGAAAATCTACAAAATAGTGTTTCAAAACTCCTCTATCTAAAGGAAGGTGCAACTCAGTGATTTGAAAGCACACATCACAAAGAAGTTTCTGAGAATTCTTCTGTCTAGTTTTATATGAAGAAATCACGTTTCAAAAGAAGGCTCCAAAGAGGACTAAATATCCCCTTGCAGATTCTACAAAAAGAGTGTCTCAAAACTCCTCTAACAAGTGGAATGTTCATCTCTGTGAGTTGAATGCAAATATCGCAAAGTAGTTTCTGACAACGTTTCTGTCTAGTTTTTATGTGAAGATATTTCCTTTTATACAATAGGCCTAGAAGCGCTCTAAATAAACGCTTGCATTTTCCACAGAAAAAGGGTTTCAAAACTGCTCTATCAAAAGAAGTTCCGATTCTGTAAGCTGAATGCACACATCACAAAGAAGTTTCTGAGAATTCTTCTGTCAGGTTTTATATGAAAAAATCCCGTTTCCAACGAAGGCCTCAGTAAAGTCCAAATATTCACCTGCAGATTATACAAAAAGAGTGTTTCAAGACTGCTTTATCAAAAGAAATGTTAAACTCTGTGAGTTGAACGCACACATCACAAAGTTGTTTCTGAGAATCATTCTGTCTAATTTTTCTCTGAAGATATTGCCTTTCGTACCGTAGGCCTCAAACGGCTCTAAATATCCACTTGGAAATTCTACAAAAAGAGAGTTTCAAAACTGCTCTATCGAAAGGTAGATACAACTCTGTGACTTGAATGCACACATCACAAACTAGTTTCTGAGAATTCTTCTGTCCAGATTCATATGAAGAAATCACGTTCAAAACGAAGGCCCCAAAGAGGTCCAAATATCCACTTGCAGACTCCACAAAAAGAGTGTTTCAAAACTGCTCTATCAAGAGGAATGTTCAACTCGGTGAGTTGTTGAATGCAAATATCACAAAGTAGTTTCTGACTATGCTTCCGTTTTGATTTCATGTGAAGATATTGCTTTTTCTGCCGTATGCCTCAAAGAGATCTTAATATACTCTTGCAAATTCCACAAAAAGAGTGTTTCAAAACTGCTCTATCAAAAGAAAGTTAAACTCTATAAACTGAATGCACATAGCACAAACTAGTTGCTGAGAATTATTCTGTCTAGGTTTTCTATGAAAGTATTTCCTTTTCTACCGCAGACGTCAAACCGCCCTAAATATACACTTGGAAATTATACAAAAAGAATATTTCAAAACTGCTCTATCGAAAGGAAGGTTCAACTCTGTGAGTGGAATGCACACATCACAAAGAAGTTTCTGAGAGTTCTTCTGTCAGGTTTTATATGATGAAATCCCGTTTCCAACGAAGACATCCAAAAATCCAAATATTCACCTGCAGATTCTACAAAAAGAGTGTTTCAAAACTGCTCTATCAAAAGAAAGTTTAAACTCAGTGAGTTGAATGCACACATCACAAAGTAGTTTCTGAGAATCATTCTGTCTAGTTTTTCTGTGAAGATATTTCCTTTTCTACCATAGGCCTCAAACCCTCTAAATATCCAATTGGAAATTCTCCAAAAAGAGTTTATGAAAACGGCTCTATCGAAAGGTAGCTTCAGCTCTGTGAGTTGAATGCGCACATCAGAATATAGTTTCTGGAAATCATTCTGTCTAGTTTTTCTATGAATATAATTCCTTTTCAACCACAGGCCTCAAACGGCGTTAAATATCCACTTGGAAATTCTACAAAAAGAGAGTTTCAAAACTGCTCTATAGAAAAGAAGGTTCAACTCTATGAGTTGAAAGCACACATTGCAAAGAAGTTTCTGATAATTCTTCTGTCTAGTTTTATATGAAGAAATCACGTTTCAAACGAAGGCCACAAACAGGTCCAAATATCCACTTGCAGAAACTTCAAAAACAGTGTTTCAAAACTGCTCTAACAAGAGGAATGTTCAACTCTGTAAGTTGAATGCAAATATCACAAAGTCGTTTCTGACAATGCTTCTGTCTAGGTTTTATGTGAAGATATTTCCTTTTCTACCGTAGGCCTCAAAGCGCTCTAAATATACCCTTGCAAATTCCACAAGAAGAGTGTTTCAAAACTGCTCTGTCGAAAGAAAGGTTAAACTCTGTAAGCTGAATGTACATATCACAAAGTAGTTTCTGAGAATGATTCTGTCTAGGTTTTCTTTGAAGATATTTCCTTTTCTGCCACAGGCGTCAAATCGCTCTAAATATCCTCTTGGAAATTCTACAAAAATAGTATTTCAAAACTGTTCTATTGAAAGGAAGCTTCAACTTTGTGAGTTGAATGCACACATCACAAAGAAGTTCCTGAGAATTCTTCTGTCAAGTTTTATATGAAGAAATCCCGTTTCCAGCGAGGACCTCACAAAAGTCCAAATATACATTGCAGATTCTACAAAAGATTGTTTCAAAACTACTCAATCAAAAGAAAGGTTAAACTCTGTGAGTTGAACACACACATCACAAAGTAGTTTCTGAGAATCATTCTGTCTAGTTTTTGTATGAACATACTGCCTTTTCTACCATAGGCGTCAAACGGCGCTAAATATCCACTTGGAAATTCTACAAAAAGAGAGTTTCAAAACTGCTCTTTCGAAAGGTAGGTTCAACTCTGTGAGTTGAAAGCACACATCACAAAGAAGTTTCTGAGAATTCTTTTATCTAGTTTTATATGAAGAAATCACGTTTCAAATGAAGGCCACAAAGAGGTCCAAATATCCAATTGCAGATTCTACAAAAAGAGTGTTTCAAAACTGTTCTATCAAGAGGAATTGTCAATTCTGTGAGATGAATACAAATATCACAAATTAGTTTCTGACAATGCTTCTGTCAAGTTTTTATGGGAAGATATTTCCTTTTCTACCGTAGACCTCAAAGCACTCTAAATATACAGTTGCAAATTACACACAAAGAGTATTTCAGAGCTGCTCTATCAAAAGATAGGTGAAACTCTGAAAGATGAATGCACACATCACAAAGTAGTTTCTGACAATGATTCTGTCTAGGTTTTTTATGCAGATATTTCCTTTTCTACCACAGGCCACAGACCGCACAAAATATTCACTTGGAAATTCTACAAAAAGAGTAATTCAAAACTGCTCTATTGAAAGGAAGGTTCAACTCTGTGACTTGAATGCACACATCTCAAAGTAGTTCCCGAGAATTCTTCTGTCAAATTTTATATGAAGAAATCCCGTTTCCAACGATGGCCTCAAAACAGTCCAAGTATTCACTGGCAAATTCTACAAAAAGAGTGTTTCAAAATTGCTCTATCAAAAGAAAGGTTAAACCCTGTGTGTTGAATGCACACATCACAAAGAAGCTTCTGAGAATTCTTCTGTCTAGTTTTATATGAAGAAATCATGTTTCAAACGAAGGCCACTAAGAGGTCCAAACATCCACTTGCAGATTCTTCAAAAAGAGTGTTTCAAAATTGCTCTATCAAGAGAAATGTTCAACTCTGTGAGTTGAATGCAAATATCACAATGTAATTTCTGACAATAATTCTATCTAGTTGTTATGTGAAGATATTTCCTTTTCTACTGCATGCCTCACAGCGCTCAAAATATGCACTAGGAAATTCCACAAAAAGAGGGTTTCAAAGCTGCTCTCTCAAAAGAAAGGTAAAACTCTTTAAGCTGAATGCACACATCACAAAGGAGTTTCTGAGTACGATTCTGTGTAGTTTTTCTATGAAGATATTTCCTTTTATAACAAAGGTCTCAAACCGCTCTAAATATTCGTTTGGAAATTCTACAAAAAGAGTATGTCAAAACTGCTTTATCGAAAGAAGATTCAACCCTGTGAGTTGAATGCACACATCACAAAGTAATTTCTGAGAATTCTTCTGTCACGTTTTATATGAAGAAAAGCCGATTCCAACGAAGGCCCCCCAAAAGTCAAATTTTTCATTGCAGATTCTACAAAAAGAGAGATTCAAAACTTCTATATCAAAAGAAAAGTTAAACTTTGTGTCTTGAACACACACATTGGAAGGTACTTTCTGAGAATCATTCTGTCAACTTTTTCTATGAAGATATTGCCTTTTCTACCATAGGCCTCAAACAGCGCTAAACATTCACTTGGAATTACTACAAAAAGAGAGTTTCAAAACTGCTCTATCAAAAGGAAGGTTCAACTATGTGAGTTGAAAGCACACATCACAAAGAAGATTCTGAGAAATCTTCTGTCTAGTTTTATATGAAGAAAACACGTTTCAAACTAAGGCCACAAATAGGTGCAAATATCCACTCGCAGATTCTATAAAAAGAGTGTTTCAAAACCGCTCAATCAAGAGGAATGTTCAACTCTGTGAGTTGAATGCAAATATCACTTCGTAGTCTCTGACAATGATTTTGTCTGGTTTTTATGTGAAGATAATTGCCTTTGTACTGCAGGCCTCAAAGCACTCTAAATATACACTTGGAAATTCCACAAAAAGAGTGTTTCAAAACTGCTCTATCAAAAAAAAGGTTAAACTCTGTAAGCTGAATGCACCCATCACAAAGTAGTTTCTGAGAATGATTCTGTCTAGTTTTTCTATGAAGATATTTCCTTTTCTACAACTGGTCTCAAACCGCTCTAAATATCCTCTTGGAAATTCTATAAAAAGAGCATTTCAAAACTGCTCTATCGAAAGGAAGGTTCAACTCTGTGAGTTCAATGGAGATATCACTAGGAAGTTTCTGAGAGTTCTTCTGTCGGTTTTATATGAAGAAATCCCCTTTCAAAAGCGGACCTCAAAAAAGTCCAAATATTCACTTGCAGATTCTGCAAAAAGTGTTTTTCAAATCTGATCTATCAACAAATAAGGTTAAACTCTGTGAGTTGAACGCACACATCTCAAAGTAGTTTCTGAGAATCATTCTGTCTACTTTTTCTATGAAGATATTGCTTTTTCTAACATAGGCCTCAAAGCCCTCTAATTATCCACTTGAAAATCTACAAAAGAGTATTTCAAAACTGCTCTAACGAAAGAAAGGTTCAACTATGTGAGTTGAATGCACAAATCCCAGAGAAGTTTC
The DNA here is from genome assembly GCF_000001405.40 of Homo sapiens. Taxonomy (NCBI): domain Eukaryota; kingdom Metazoa; phylum Chordata; class Mammalia; order Primates; family Hominidae; genus Homo; species Homo sapiens. The sequence goes on from NW_012132917.1 coordinate 44,680, forward strand.
TGAGAATTGTTCTGTCAAGATTTAGATGAAGAAATCCCGTTTCCAACGAAGGCCTCAAAAAAGACAAAACATTCATTTGCAGATTCTACAAAAAGAGTATTTCAAAACTGCTCTATCAAAAGACAGGTTAAACTCTGTGCCTTGAACGAACACATCACAAAGTAGTTTCTGAGAATCATTCTGTCTATTTTTTCTATGAAGATATTGCCTTTTGTCCCATAGGCCTCAAACGGCAATAATTAAACACTTGGAAATTGTACAAAAAGAGATTTTCAAAACTGCTCTATTGAAAGGAAGTTTCAACTCTGTGAGACGAAAGCACACATCAAAAAGAAGTTTTGGAGAATTCTTCTGTCTGGTTTTATAAGAAGAAATCATGTTTCAAACGAAGTAAACAAACAGATCCAAATACCACTTACAGATTCTACAAAAAGAGTGTTTCAAAACGGCTCTATCAAGACAGAAGTTCAACGCTGTGAGTTGAATACAATTTTCACAATGTAGTTTCTTACAATATTTATCTCTAGTTTTGATGTGAAGATATTTCCTTTTCTAGCGTAGGCCTCAAAGCGCTCTAAATATACACATGCAAATTCCACAAAAGGAATGTTTAAAAACTGCTCTATCAAAAGAAAGGTTAAATTCTGTAAGCTGAATGCACACAACACAAAGTAGTTTCTGAGAATGATTCTGTGTAGTTTTTCTATGAAGATATTTCCTTTTCTACCACAGGCCTCAAACCGCTCTAAATATCCAATTGGAAATTCTACAAAAAGAGTATTTCAAAACTGCTCTATCGAAAGGAAGGTTCAACACCGTGAGTTGAAAGCACACATCACAAAGAAGTTTCTGAGAAATTTTCTGTCTAGTTTTATATGAAGAAATCAAGTTTCAAACGAAGGCCACTAAGAGGTCCAAATATCCACTTCCAGATTCTACAAAAAGAGTGTTTCAAAACTCCTCTATCACAAGGAATGTTTGACTCTGTGAGTTGAATGCAAATATCACAAAGTAGTTTCTCACAATGCTTCTGTCTAGTTTTTAGGTGAAGATATTTCCTTTTCCACCACAGGCCTCAAACCGCTCTAAATATCCACTTGGAAATTATGCAAAAAAAAAAAAAGAGTATTTCAAAACTGCTCTATCGAAAGGAAGTTTCAACTCTGAGAGTTCAATGCACACATCACAAAGAAGTTTCTGAGAATTCTTTTGTCAAGTTTTATATGAAGCAATCCCGTTTCCAATGGAAGCTTCAAAAAAGCCGAAACATTCACTTGCAGATTCTACAAAAAGAGTGTTTCAAAATTGCTCTATCAAAAGAAAGTTTGAACTCTGTGTGCTGAACGCACACATCACAAAGTAGTTTCTGAGAATCATTTTGTCAAGTTTTTCTATGAACATACTGCCTTTTCTACTATATGCCTCAAGTGGCGATAAACATCCACTTGAAAATACTACAAAAAGAGATTTTCACAACTGCTCTATTGAAAGGAAGGTTCAAATCTGCAAGTGGAATGCACACATCAAAAAGTAGTTTCTGAGAACTCTTCTGTCAAATTTTATATGAAGAAATCCCGTTTCCAAGGAAGGCCTCAAAAAAGTCCAAATATTCACTTACAGATTCTACAAAAAGATGCTTCAAAACTGCTCTATCAAGAGGAATGTTCAACAGTTTGAGTTGAATGCAAATATCACAAAGTAGTTTCTGACATTGCTTCTATTTTTTTTGTGAAGATATTCCCTTTTGTACCGTAGGCCTCAAAGCGCACTGAATATAGAGTTGCAAATTCCACAAAAAGAGTGTTTCAAAACTGCTTTATCAAAAGAAAGGTTAAACTCTGTAAGCTGAATGCGCACATCACAAAGTAGTTTCTGACTATTATTCTGTCTGGGTTTTCTATGAAGATATTTACTTTTCTACCACAGGCCTCAAACCGCTCTAAATTTCCACTTGGAAATTCTTCAGAAAGAGCCTTTCAAAACTGCTCTATCGAAAGCAATGTTCAACTCTGTGAGTTGAATGCACACATCACAAAGAAGTTCCTGAGAATTCTTCTATCAAGTTTTATTAGAAGAAATCTCGTTTCCTAAGAAGGCCCCAAAAAATCCGATTATTCACTTTCAGATTCTACAAAAAGAGTGTTTCAAAACTGCTCTATGAAACGAAAGGTTAAACTCGGTGAGTTGAATGCACACATCAAAAAGTAGTTTCTGAGAGTCATTCTGTCTAGTTTTTCTATGAAGATATTGCCTTTTCTTCCATAGGCCTCAAACAGCACTAAATATCCTCTTGGAAATACTACAAACAGAGAGTTTCAAAACTGCTCTTTTGAAAGGAAGGTTCAAATCTGTGAGTTGAAAGCACACATCACAAAGAAGGTTCTGAGAATTCTTCTGTCTAGTTTGATATGAAGCAATCACATTTGAAACGAAGGCCACAAAGAGGTCCAAATATCCCCTCACAAATACTACAAAAACAGTGTTTCAAGACTGCTCTATCAAGAGGAACGTTCAACTCTGTGAGTTGAATGCAAATATCACGTTGTAGTTTCTGACAATGCTTCTGTCTAATTTTTATGTGAAGATAAATCCTTTTCTACAGTTGGCCTCAAAGCTCTCTAAATATAAACTTTCAAATTCCACAAAAAGAGTGTTTCAAAACTGTTCTATCAAAAGGAATTTTAAACTCTGTAAGCGGAATGCACAAATCACAAAGCACTTTCTGACAGTGATTCTGTCTAGTTTATCTATGAAGATATTCCCTTTTCTACCACAGGCCTCAAACCGCTATAAATATCCACTTGGAAATTCTACAAACAGTATCTCAACACTGTTATATCGAAAGGAAGGTTCAACTCTGTGAGTTGAATGCACATATCAAAAAGAAGTTTCTGAGAATTCTTCTGTAACCTTTTATATGAAGAAATCCCATTTCCAACGAAGGCCTCCCAGAATTCCAAATATTCACTTCCAGATTCTACAAAAGGCTGTTTCAAAACTGCTCTATCAAAAGAAAGGTTAAACTCTTGGAGTTGAATGCACACACCACAAAGTAGTTTCTGAGAATCATTCTGTCTAGTTTTTCAATGAAGATATTGCCTTTTCTACCATAGGCCTCAATAGGCAATAAACATCCACTTGGAAATTCTACATAATGGGAGTTTCAAAACTGCTCTATTGAAAGGAAGGTTCAACTCTGTGAGTTGAAAGCACACTTCACAAGAAGTTTCTGAGAATTCTTCTGTCTAGTTATATTTGAGGAAATCACGTTTCAAACGAAGGACACAAAGAGGTCCAAATATCCACATGCAGATTCTACAAAAAGAGAGTTTCAAAACTGTTCTATCAAGAGGAATGTTCAACTCTGTGCGTTGAATGCAAATATCACAAATAAGTTTCTGACAATACTTCCGTCTAGTTTTTATGTGAAGATATTTCCTTTCCTACTGTAGGCCTCAAAACGCTCTAAAGAGACACTTGCAAATTCCACAAAAAGAGGGGTTCAATACTGCTCTATCAAAAGAAAGGTTAAACTCTTTAAGCTGAATGCACACATCAATAAGTAGTTTCTGATAATGATTCTGTCTAGTTTATCAGTGAGGGTATTCCTTTTTCTACCACAGGCCTCATTCCACTCTAAATATCCACCTGGAAATTCAACAAAAAGAGTATTTCAAAACTGCTCTATCGAAAGGAAGGTTCAACTCTGTATGTGGAATGCACACATCACAAAGAAGTTTCTGAGAATTCTTCTGTCAAGTTTTATATAAAGAAAACCCGTTTCCAATGAAGGCCTCAAAAAATCCAAATATTCACTCGCAGATTCTACAAAAAGAGTTTCTCAAACCTGCTCTATCAAAAGAAAGTTTAAACAAGGTGGCTTGAACGCACACACCACAAAGTAGTTTCTGAGAATCATTTTGTCTAGTTTTTCTATGAAGATATTGCCTTTTCTACCATAGTACTCAAACGGCGCTAAATATCCACTTGGAAATTCTACAAAAAGAGAGTTTCAAAACTGCTCTATCGAAAGGAAGGTTCAACTCTGTGAGTTGAAAGCACACATCACAAAGAAGTTTCTGACAATTATTCTGTCTTGTTTTGTATTAGGAATCACTTTTCAAACGAAGGCCACAAATTGGTCCAAATATCCACTTGGAAATTCTACAAAAAGAATATTTCAACACTCTTCTATCAAAAGGAAGGTTGAACTCTGAGAGTTAAATGCACGCATCACAAAGAAGTTTCTGAGAATTCTTCTGTCAAGGTTTATATGAAGAAATCCCGTTTCCAATGAAGGCCTCAAAAAAGTCCAAATATTTACTTGCAGATTCTACAAAAAGAGTGTTTCATAACTGGTCTATCAAAAGAAAGGTTAAACTCAGTGAGTTGAACCCACACATCACAAAGTAGTTTCTGAGAATCATTCTGTCTAGTTTTCCTACGAAGATATTGCCTTTTCTACCATAGGCCTCAAACGGCGCTAAATATCCACCTGGAAATTCTACAAAAACTGAGTTTCAAAAGTGCTCTATTGAAAGGAAGCTTCAACTCTGTGCGTTGAAGGTACACACCACAAAGAAGTTTCTGAGAATTCTTCTGTCTACTTGTAAATGAAGAAATCACGTTTCAAACGAAGGCCACAAAGAGGTCCAAACATCCACTTGCAGATTCTACAAAAAGAGTGTTTCAAAACTGCTCCATCAAGAGGAATGTTCAACTCTGTGCGTTGAATGCAAATATCACAAATAAGTTTCTGACAATACTTCTGTCTAGTTTTTATGTGAAGATATTTCCTTTTCTACCCTTGGCCTCAAATCGCTCTAAATATACACTTTCAAATTCTGCAAAAAGAGTGTTTCAAAACTTCTCTATCAAAAGAAAGGTTAAACTCTGTAAGCTGAATACACACATCACAAAGTAGTTTCTGAGAATGACTCTGCCTAGGTTTTCTATGAAGATATTTCCTTTTCTACCATAGGTCTCACACCGCTCTAAATATTCAGTTGGAAATACTACAAAAAGAGTATTTCAAAACTCCTCTATCGAAAGGGAGGTTCAACTCTGTGAGTTGAATCAACACATCATAAAGTAGGTTCTGAGAATTCTTCAGTCAACTTTTATGTTACGAAATCCCGTCTCCTACGAAGTCCTCCAAAAAGGCCAAATATTCACTTGCATATACTACAAACAGAGTTCTTAAAAACTACCCTATCAAAAGAACGGTTTAACTGTGTGTGTTGAACGCACACATTCCAAAGTAGTTTCTGACAAACATTCTGTCTAGTTTTTCTATGAAGATATTGCCTTTTCTACCATAGTCCTGAAATGGCACTAAATATCCAATTGGAAATTCTACAAAAAGAGTATTTCGAAACTGCTCTATTGAAAGGAAGGTTCAACTCTGTGACTTGAATGCACACATCACAAAAAAGTTTCTGAGAATTCTTCTGTCTACTTTTATATGAAGAGTTAACGTTTCAAAAGAAGGCCAGGAAGAGGATCAAATGTCCTCTTGCAGATTCTACAAAAAGAGTGTTTCAAAACTGCTCTATCAAGAGGAAAGTTCAACTCTGTGAGTTGAATGCAAATATCCAAAATAGTTTCTGACAAAGCTTCTTTCTAGCTTTTATGTGAAAATATATCATTTTCTATTGTAGGCCACAAAGCTCTCTAAATATAGACTTGCAAATTACACAAAAAGAGTGTTTCAAACTCCTCTATAAAAACACAGGTTAAACTCGGTAATCTGAATGCACACATCACAAAGTAGTTTCTGAGAATTACTCTGTCTAGTTTTTCACTGAAGGTATTTACTGTTCTACCATAGGCCTCAAACCATACTTAATATCCGCTTGGAAATTCTACAAAAAGAGTATTTCAAAACTGCTCTATCGAAAGGAAGATTCAAATCTGTAAGATAAATGCACACATCACAAAGAAGTTTCTGGGAATTCTTCTGTCAAGTTTTATATGAAGAAATCCCCTTTCCTACGAAGGCCTCAAAAAAGTCCAAATATTCACTTGCAGATTCTACAAAAAGAGCTTTTCAAAACTGCTCTATCAAAAGAAAGGTGAAACTCTGTGAATTGAATGCACACATCACAAAGTAGTTTCTAAGAATCATTCTGTCCAGTTTTTCTATGAAGATATCGCCTTTTCAACCATAGGCCTCAAACAGCGCTAAATATCCATTTGGAAATCTTACAAAAAGAGAGTTTCAAAACTGCTCCATCAAAAGGAAGGTTCAACACTGTGAGTTGAAAGCACACAACAGAAATAACTTTGTGATATTTCTTCTGTCTAATTTTATATGAAGAAACCACGTTTCAAACGAAGGCCACAAATAGTTCCAATTATCCACTTGCAGATTCTACAAAAAGAGTGTTTCTAAACTGCTCTATAAAGAGAAATTTTCAACTCTGTGAGTTGATTGCAAATATCGCAAACTAGTTTCTGACAATGCTTCTGTCGAGTTTTTTTGTGAAGATATTTCCTTTTCTACCGTAGGCCTCAAAGCACTCTAAATATACACTTACAAATTCCACAAAAAGAGTGTTTCAAAACTGCTCTATCAAAAGAAATGTTAAATTCTGTAAGCTGAAAGCACACAACACAAACTAGTTTCTCAGGATGATTCTGTCTAGTGTTTCTAAGAAGATATTTCCTTTTATACCACTGGCCTGAAAACCGCCAAAACTATACACTAGGAAATCCTGCAAAAAGAGTATTTCAACACTGCTCTATTGAAAGGAATGTTCAACACTGTGAATTGAATGCACACATCACACAGAAGTTTCTGGGAATTCCTCTGTCAAATTTTATATGAAGAAATCCCGTTTCCAACGAAGGCCTCAAAAAACGCAAACATTCACTTGCAGATTCTAAAAAAAGAGTCTTTCAAAACTGCTCTATCAAGAGGAATGTTCAACACTGTGAGTTGAATGCAAATATCACAAAGTGGTTTCTGACAATGCTTCTGTCTAGTTTTTGTGTGAACATATTTACTTTTCTACTGTAGGCCTCAAAGTGCTCTAAATATTCATTTGCAAATTCCACAAAAAGTGTGTTTCAAAACTGCTCTATAAAAAGAAATGTTACACTCTATAAACTGAATGCACACATCACAAAGGAATTTCTGACAATGCTTCTGTCTAGTTTTTAAGTGAAGATATTTCCTTTTCTACCGTAGCCCTCAAAGTGCTCCAACTTTAAACTTGGAAATTCCACAAAAAGAGTGCTTCAAAACTACTCTATCAAAAAGGTTAAGCACTGTACGCTGAATACACACTTCACAAAGTGTTTTCTGAAAATGATTCTTCCTTGTTTTTTCTGAAGACATTTCCTTTTCCACCAGAGGCCTCAAACCGTACTAAATATCCACTTGAAAATTATACAAAAAGAGTATTTCAAAACTGCTCTATCAAAAAAAGGAAGGTCCAACTCTGTGAGTTGAACGCACACCTCCTAAATAAGTTTCTGACAATTCTTCTGTCAGGTTTTATATGAAGAAATCCCCTTTCCAACGAAGGCCTCAAAAAAGACCAAATATTCACTTGCAGATTCTACAACAAGAGTATTTCAAGACTCCTCTATCAAGAGGAATGTTCAACTCTGTGAGTTGAATGCAAATATCACAAAGTAATTTCAGACAATGCTTCTGTCTAGTTTTTAAGTGAAGATATTTCCTTTTCTACCATAGGCCTCAAATCGCTCTAAATACACACTTGCAAATTCCACGAAAAGAGCGTTTCAAAACTGCTCTATCAAAATAAAGGTTAAACACTGTAAGCATAATGCACACATCACAAAGTAGTTTCTGATAACGATTCTATGTTGTTTTTCTATGAAGATAGTTCCTTTTCTACCATAGGCCTCAAACCGCACTAAATATCCACTTTGAAATTCTACAAAAAGAGTCTTTCAAAACTGCCCTATCGAAAGGAGGGTTCAACACTGTGAGTTGAATGCACACCTCCTAAATACGTTTCTGAGAATTCTTCTGTCAAGTTTTATATGAGGAAATCCCATTTCCAAAGAAGGCCTCAAAAAAGTCCAAATATTCAGTTGCAGATATTACAAAAAAAGTGTTTCAAAACTTCTCTATAAAAGAAAGGTTAAAGTCTGTGAGTTGAATGCACACATCACAAACTAGTTTCTGAGAATCATTCCGTCAATTTTTTCCATGAAGATATTGCCTCTTCTACCATAGGCCTCAAACGGCCCTATATATCCATTTGGAAATTCTACAAAAAGAGAGTTTCTAAACTGCTCTATGGAAAGGAAGGTTCAACTCTGTGAGTTGAAAACACACAACACAAAGAAGTTTCTAAGAGTTCTTCTGTCTAGTTTTATATGAAGAAAGCACGTTTCAAACGAAGGCCACAAAGAGGTCCAAATAATCAATTGCAGATTCTACAAAAAGAGTATTTCAAAACTGCTCTATCAAGAGGAATGTTCAACACTGTGAGTTGAATGCAAATATCACAAAGTGGTTTCTGACAATGTTTCTGTCTAGTTTTTGTGTGAACATATTTACTTTTCTACTGTAGGCCTCAAAGTGCTCTAAATATTCATTTGCAAATTCCACAAAAAGTGTGTTTCAAAACTGCTCTATAAAAAGAAATGTTACACTCTATAAACTGAATGCACACATCACAAAGGAATTTCTGACAATGCTTCTGTCTAGTTTTTAAGTGAAGATATTTCCTTTCCTACCGTAGTCCTCAAAGTGCTCCAACTTTAAACTTGGAAATCCCACAAAAAGAGTGCTTCAAAACTGCTCTATCAAAACAAAGGTTAAGCACTGTAAGCTGAATACACGCTTCACAAAGTGTTTTCTGAAAATGATTCTTCCTTGTTTTTTTCTGAAGACATTTCCTTTTCCACCAGAGGCCTCAAACCGCACTGAATATCCACTTGAAAATTATACAAAAAGAGTATTTCAAAACTGCTCTATCAAAAGGAAGGTCCAACTCTGTGAGTTGAATGCACACCTCCTAAATAAGTTTCTGACAATTCTTCTGTCAAGTTTTATATGAAGAAATCCCCTTTCCAACGAAGGCATCAAAAAAAGTCCAAATATTCACTTGCAGATTCTACAACAAGAGTATTTCAAGACTCCTCTATCAAGAGGAATGTTCAACTCTGTGAGTTGAATGCAAATATCACAAAATAGTTTCTGACAATGCTTCTGTCTAGTTTTTAAGTGAAGATATTTCCTTTCCTATTGTAGGCCTCAAATCGCTCTAAATACACACTTGCAAATTCCACGAAAAGAGTGTTTCAAAACTGCTCTATCAAAAAAAAGGTTAAACACTGTAAGCATAATGCACACATCACAAAGTAGTTTCTGATAACAATTCTATCTATCTTGTTTTTCTATGAAGATAGTTCCTTTTCTACCATAGGCCTCAAACCGCACTAAATATCCACTTTGAAATTCTACAAAAAGAGTCTTTCAAAACTGCCCTATCGAAAGGAGGGTTCAACTCTGTGAGTTGAATGCACACCTCCTAAATAAGTTTCTGATAATTCTTCTGTCAAGTTTTATATGAAGAAATCCCGTTTCCAAAGAAGGCCTCAAAAAAGTCCAAATATTCAGTTGCAGATATTACAAAAAAAGTGTTTCAAAACTTCTCTATAAAAGAAAGGTTAAAGTCTGTGAGTTGAATGCACACATCACAAACTAGTTTCTGAGAATCATTCCGTCAATTTTTTCCATGAAGATATTGCCTCTTCTACCATAGGCCTCAAACGGCCCTATATATCCATTTGGAAATTCTACAAAAAGAGAGTTTCTAAACTGCTCTATGGAAAGGAAGGTTCAACTCTGTGAGTTGAAAACACACAACACAAAGAAGTTTCTAAGAGTTCTTCTGTCTAGTTTTATATGAAGAAAGCACGTTTCAAACGAAGGCCACAAAGAGGTCCAAATAATCAATTGCAGATTCTACAAAAAGAGTATTTCAAAACGGCTCTATCAAGAGGACTGTTCAACACTGTGAGGTGAATGCAAATATCACAAAGTCGTTTCTGACAATGCTTCTGTCTAGGTTTTATGTGAGGATATTTCCTTTTCTACCGTAGGCCTCAAAGCGATCTAAATATACACTTGGAGATTCCACAGAAAGAGTGTTTCAAAACTGCTCTATCAAAAGAAAGATTAAACTCTGTAAGCTGAATGTACACATCACAAAGTAGTTTCTGAGAATGATTTCGTCTAGTTTTTCTATGAAGATATTTCTTTGTCTACCATAGGCCTCAAAAGGTGCTAAATATCCATTTGGAAATTCTACAAAAAGATTATTCCAAAACTGCACTATCGAAAGGAAGGTTCAAACCTGTGAGGTGAATGCACACATCAGAAATACGATTCTGAGAATTCTTCTGTTCAATTTTATATGTAGAAAACCCGTTTCCAACGAAGGATTCAAAAAAGTCCAAATATTCACTTGCGATCCCACAAAAAGAGTGCTTCAAAACTGCTCTATCAACAGAAAGGTTAAACCCTTTGAGATGAACGCACACATCACAAAGTAGTTTCTGAGAATGATTCTGTCTAGTTTTTTTTGAAGATACTGCCTTTTCTACGATAGGCCTCAAACGGCGCTAAATACCCACTTGGAAGTCCTACAAAAAGAGAGTTTCAAAACTGCTATATCGAAAGCAAGGTTCAACTCTGTGAGTTGAAAGCACACATCACAAAGAAGTTTCTGAGAATTTTTCTGTCTTGTTTATATGAAGAAATCACGTTTCAATCGAACGCCACAAAGAGGACCAAATATTCAATTGCAGATTCTACACAAAGAGTGTTTCAAACTGCGCTTTCAAAAGGAATGTTCAACTCTGTGACTTGAATGCCAATATCACAAAGTAGTTTCTGAAAATGCTTTTGTCTATTTTTTATGTGAAGATATTTCCTTTTCCACCATAGGCCTCAACGCGCTCTAAATATACACTTGGAAATTCCACAAAAATAGTGTTTCAAAACTGCTCTATCAAAAGAAAGGTTAAACTCTGTAAGCTGAATGCACACATCACAAAGTAGTTTCTGATAACCATCATATCTTGTTTTTCTCTGAAGACATTTCCTTTTCTACCATAGGCCTCAAACAGCACAAAATATCCACTTTAAATGCTACAAAAAGTGTATTTCAAAACTGCTGTATCGAAAGGAAGGTTCAACTCTGTGAGTTGCATGCACAGCTCCCAAAGAAGTTTCTATCAATTCCTCTGTCAAGTTTTATATGAAGAGATCCTGTTTCCAACGAAGGCCTCAAAAAAGTCCAAATATCCACTTGCAGATTCTGCAAAAAGAGTATTTCAAAACTGCTCTATTAAGAGGAATGATTAACTCTGTGAGTTGAATGCAAACATCACAAAGTAGTTTGTAACAATGCTTCTGTCTAGTTTTTATGTGAAGATATTTACTTTTCTACTGTAGGCCTTAAAGTGCTCTATATATACACTTTCAAATTCCTCAAAAAGAGTGTTTCAAAACTGCTCTATCAAAAGAAAGGTTAAACTCCGTAAGCTGAATGCACCCATCACAAAGAAGTTTCTTATAATGATTCTATCTGGTTTTTCTGTGAAGATATTTCCTTTTCTATCATAGGCCTCAAACCTCATTAAATATCCACTTGGAAATTCTACAAAAAGAGTATTTCAAAACTACTCTATCGAAAGGAAGGTTCAACTGTGTGAGTTGAATGCACACCTCCCAAAGAAGTTTCTGAGAATTATTCTGTCAAGTTTTATATGAAGAAATCCTGTTTCCAAAGAAGCCCTCAAAAAAGTCCAAATATTCACTTGGAGATCCTACAAAAAGAGTGTTTCAAAACTGCTCTATCAAAAGAAAGGTTAATCTCTGTGACTTGAACGCACACATCACAAAGCAGTTTCTGAGAATCATTCTGTCTAGTTTTTCTTCGAAGGTATTGCCTTTTCTACCATAGGCCTCAAGCGGCGCCAAATATCCACTTGGAAATACTACAAAAAGAAAGTTTCAAAACTGCTCTATCGAAAGGAAGCTTCAACTCTGTGAGTTGAAAGCACATATCAGAAAGAAGTTTCTGAGCATTCTTCTGTATAGTTTTATGTGAAGAAATCAAGGTTCAAAGGAAGGCCACAGGGAGTTCCAAATATCCAATTGCAGATACTACAAAAAGAGTGTTTCAAAACGGCTCTATCAAGAGGAATGTTCAACTCTGGGAGTTGAATGCAAATATCACAATGTAGTTTCTCACAATTTTTCCGTCTAGTTTTTATGTGAAGATATTTCCTTTTCTGCCGTAGGTCTCAAAGCACTCTAAATATACACATGCAAATTCCACAAAAAGAGTGATTCAAAACTGCTCTATAAAAAGAAAGTTTAAAGCTTGTAAGCTTAATGCACACATCACAAAGTAGTTTCTGATAATGATTCTCTCTTGTTTTTCTTATGAAGGCATTTCCTTTTCTACCATAGGCATCAAACCGCACTAAATATCAAAATGGAAATTTTACAAAAAGAGTATTTCAAAACTGCTCTATCGAAATAAGGCTCATCTCTGTGAATCGAATGCACACATGACAAAGAAGTTTCTGAGAATTCTTCTATCACGTTTTAACTGAAGAAATCCCGTTTCCAACGGAGGCCCCAAAAACGCCTAATATTCACTTGCAGATTCTACAAAAAGAGTGTTTCAAAACTGCTCTATCAAAAGAAAGGTAAACTTTTTGAGTTAAATGCTCACACCACAAAGGAATTTCTGAGAATCATTCTGTATAGTTTTTCTATGGAGATAATGACTTTTCTACCATAGGCCTCACGCGGCGCTAAATATCCACTTGGAAATACTACAAAACGAGAGTTTCAAAACTGCTCTATGGAAAGGAAGTTTCAACTCTTCGAGTTGAAAGCACACATCACAAAGAAGTTTCTGGGAATTCTTCTGTGTAGTTTTATATGAAGAAATCACGTTTCTAACGAAGGCCACAAAGAGGTCCAAATATCCACTCGCAGATTCTACAAAAAGAGTGTTTCAAAACTGCTCTATCAAAAGAAAGGTTAAACTCTGTGAGTTGAACGCCCTCATCACAAAGTAGTTTCTCAGAATTATTCTGTCGAATTTTTCTATGAAGATATTGTCTTTTCTACCATAGGCCTCAAACGGCGCTACATATACTCTTGGAAATTCTACAAAAAGAGAGTTTCAAAACTGCTCTATCGAAAGGAAGTTTCAACTCTGTGAGTTGAAAGCACACATCACAAAGAAGTTTCTGAGAATTCTTCTGTCTAGTTTTATAGGAAGAAATATCATTTCAAACGAAGGCCACAAAGAGGTCAAAATATCCATTTGCAGATTCTACAAAAAGAGTGTCTCAAAACTGCTCTATCAAGAGGAATGTTCAACTTTGTGAGTTGAATGCAAATATCACAAAATAGTTTCCCGACAATGTTTCTGTCTTGTTTTTATGTGAAGATATTTCCTTTTCTACCGTAGGACTCAAAGTTCTCTAAATATACGCTTGCAAAATCCTGAAAAAACTGTTACAAAACTGCTCTATCAAAACAAAGGGTAAACTCTGTAAGCTGAATGCACACATCACAAAGTAGTTTCTGACAATGATTCTGTCTAGTTTTTCTATGAAGATATTTCCTTTTCTACTACAGGTCTCAAACAGCTCGAAATCTCCACTTGGAAATTCTACAAAAAGAGTATTTCAAATCTGCTCTATCGAAAGATAGGTTGAAATCTCTGAGTTGAATGCCCACATCACGAAGAAGTTTCAGAGAATTTTTCTGTCACGTTTTATATGAAGAAATCACGTTTCAAACTAAAGCCCCCCAAAAGTCCAAATATTCACTAGAAGATCCTACAAAAAGAGTTTTTCAAAACTACTCTATCAAGAGGAATGTTCATCTCTGTGAGTTGAATGCAAATATCATGCAGTAGTTTCTGACAATGCTTCTGTCTAGTTTTTATGTGAAGATAATTCCTTGTCTACCACAGGCCTCAAAGCGCTCTAAATATACACTTGCAAATTCCACAAAAAGAGAGTTTCAATACTATCAAAAGAAAAGTTAAACTCTGTGATTTGAACGCACACATCACAAAGTACTTTCTGAGAATCACTCTGTCTAGTTTTTCTATGAAGATATTGGCTTTTGAACCATAGGCCTCAAACGGCGCAAAATATCCACTTGGAAATTCTACAAAAATAGATTTTCAAAACTGCTGCATCGAAAGGAAGGTTCAACACTGTGAGTTGAAAGCTCACGTCGCAACGAAGTTTCTGAGAATTCTTCTCTCTAGTTTTATATGTAGAAATCACGTTTCAAACGAAGGCCACAAAAAGGTCCAAATATCCGCTTGCAGATTCTACAAAAAGAGTGTTTCAAAACTGCTCTATGAAGAGGAATGTTCAACTGTGTGAGTTGAATGCAAATATCTCAAAGTAGTTTCTGAAAATGCTTCTGTCTAGTTTTTAAGTGAAGATATTTCCTTTTCTACCGTAGGCCTCAAAGCGCTCTAAATATTCACTTGCAAATTCCTCAAAAAGAGTGTTTCAAAACTGCTCTATCAAAAGAAAGGTTAAACTCTGTAGGGTGAATGTCCACAGCACAAAGTAGTTTCTGACAATGATTTTGTCTAGTTTTTCTATGAAGATATTTCCTTTTCTACCAAAGTCCTCAAACCGCTTTAAATATCCACTTCGAAATTCTACCAAAAGAGTATTTCAAAACTGCTCTATCGAAAGGGAGATTCAGCTCTGTGAGTTGAATGCACACATCACAAAGAAGTGTCTGAGAATTCTTCTGTCACGTTTTATATGGAGAAATCCCGTTTCCAACGAAGGCCACCAAAAGGTCCAAATATTCACTTGCAGATTCTACAAAAAGAGTGTTTCAAAACTGCTCTATCAAAAGAAAGTTAAACTCTATGAGTTTAACGCACACATGACAAAGTAGTTTCTGAGAATCATTCTATTTTTTCTATGAAGATATTGCCTTTTGTTCCTTAGGCCTCAAATGGCGCTAAATATCCACTTCGAAATTCTACAAAAGGACAGTTTCAATACTGCTCTATCGAAAGGAAGGTTCATCTCTGTGAGTTGAAAGCACACATCGCAAAGAAGTTTCTGAGAATTCTTCTGTCTAGTTTTATATGAAGAAATCACGATAAAAAAGAAGGCCAGAAAGAGGTCCAAATACCCACTTGCAGGTCCTGAAAAGGAGTGTTTCAAACTGCTCTATCAAGAGGAATGTTCAACTCTGTGAGTTGAATTCAAATATCACAAAGGAGTTTCTGACTATGCTTCTGTGTAGATTTTATGTGAAGGTATTTGCATTTCTACCATAGGCCTCAAAGCGCTCTAAATATACATTAGCAAACTCAACAGAAAGAGGGTTTCAAACCTGCTCTTTCAAAATAATGTTAAACCCTGTAAGCTGAATGCACACATCCCAAAGTAGTTTCTGAGAATGATTCTGTCTTGTTTTTCTATGAAAGTGCTCTATCAAAAGGAAGGTTCAATTGTGTGATTTGAATGCACACATCACAAAGAAGTTTCTGAGAATTCTTCTGTCACATTTTATATGAAGAAATCCCGTTTCCAACGAAGGCCCCCAAAACTCCAAATATTCACTTGCAGATTCTACAAAAACAGTGTTTTAAAACCGCTCTATCAAAGGAAAGATTAAACACTGTGAGTTGAACGCTCACAGCACGATGTAGTTTCTGGGAATCATTCTGTCTAATTTTTCTATGAAGATATAGCCTTTTCTACCATAGGCCTCAAACAGCGCAAAATATCCACTTGGAAAGTCAACAAAAAGAGAGTTTCAAAACTGCTCTATCGAAAGGAAGGTTCAACTCTGTGAGTTGAAAGCACACATCACAAAGAACTTTCTGAGAATTTTTCTATTTTCATATGAAGAAATCACGTTTCAAAAGAAGGCCACAAAGAGCTTCAAATATCCACTTGCAGATTCTACAAAAAGAGTGTTTCAAAACTGCTCTATCAAGAGGAATGTTCAATTCTGTAAGTTGAATCAAATATCACAAAGTAGTCTATGACAGTGCTTCTGTCTAGTTTTTATGTGAAGATATTTCCTTTTCTTCCATCGGCCTCAAAGCGCTGTAAATATACACTAGCAAACCCCACAAAAAGAGTGAATCTAAACTGCTCTATAAAAAGAACGGTTAGACTCTGTAACCCGAATGCACACTTCACAAAGTAGTTTCAGAGAATGATTCTGTCTAGTTTTTCTATAAAGATATTTCCTTTTCTACCACAGGACTGAAACCGCTCTGATTATCCACTTGGAAATCCTACAAAAAGAGTATTTCAAAACTGCTCTATCGAAAGAAGGGTTCAACACTGTGAGTTGAATGCACACATCCCAAAGAAGTTTCGGAGAATTCTTCTGTCACATTTCAATGAAGAAATCCCGTTTCCAACGGAGGTCCCAAAAAAGTCCAAATTTTCAATGCTGATTCTACAAAAAGAGTGTTTCAAAACGGCTCTATCAAAAGAAAAGTTAAACTCTGTGAGTTGACCGTACACATGACAAAGTCTTTTCTGAGAATCATTCTGTCTAGTTTTTGTATGAAGATATTTCCTTTTCTACCATAGGCCCCAAACGGCGCTAAATATCCACTTGGAAATTCTACAAAAAGAGACTTTCAAAACTCCTCTATCGAAAGGAATGTTCAACTCTGTGAGTTGAAAGCATACATCACAAAGAAGTTTCTGAGAATTGTTCTGTCTAGTTTTAGATGAAGAAATCACGTTTCAAACGAAGGACATGAAGAAGTCCAAATATCCACTGGCAGATTCTACAAAAAGAGTGTTTCAAAACTGCTCTCTCAAGAGGTGTGTTCAACTCTGTGATTTGAATGCAAATATCACAAAATAGTTTCCGTCAATGCTTCTGTCTGGTTTTTATATGAAGATACTTACTTTTCTACCGTAGGCCTGAAAGCGCTGTAAATATACACATGAAAATTCCACAAAAAGAGTGTTTCAAAACTGCTCTATCAAAAGAAAGGTTAAACTTTGTAAGCTGAAAGCACACATCACAAATCAGTTTCTGAGAATGATTCTCTCTAATTTTTCTAAGAAGATATTTCTTTTTCTACCATAGGCCTCAAACAGCTCTAAATATCCACATGGAAATTCTACAAAAGAGGAGTATTTCAAAACTTCTCTATTGAAAGGAAGGTTTAACTCTGTGAGTTGAATGCGCACATCACATAGAAGTTTCTGAGAATTCTTCTGTCAAGTTTTCTATGAAGAAATCCCGTTTCCAAGGAAGGCCTCCAAAAGTCCAAATATTCACTTGTAGATTCTACAAAAAGACTGTTTCAAAAAAGCTCTATCCAAAGAAAGGTTAAACTCTGTGAGTCGTAAGCACACATCCCAAAGTAGTTTCTCAGAATCATTCTATCTAGTTTTTCTAAGAAGATATTTCCTTTTCTAACATAGGCCTCAAACGGTGCTAAATATCCACTTGGAAATTCTACAAAAAAGAGAGTTTCAAAACTGCTCTATCAAAAGAAAGTTTCAACTGTGTGAGTTGAAAGCACACATCACAAAGAAGGTTCTGAGAGTTCTTCAGTCTAGTTTTGTATGAAGAAATCATGTTTGAAATGAAGGCCACAAAGAGGTTCAAATATCCACTTGTAGATTCTACAAAAAGAGTGTTTCAAAACTGCTCTATCAAAAGGAATTTTCAACTCTGTGAGTTGAATACAAATGTCACAAAATAGATTCTGACAATGTTTTTGTCTAGTTTTTATGTGAAGATATTTCCTTTTCTACCTTAGGCCTCAAAGCGCTCTAAATATACACTAGAAAATTCCACAAAATGAGTGTTTCAAAACTGCTCTATCAAAAGAAAGCTTAAACTCAGTAAGCTGAATGCACACATCACAATGTAGTTTCTGAGAATTATTCTGTCTAGTTTTTCTATGAAGATATTTCCTTGTATAAAACAGGCCTAAACCGTTCTAAATATCCACTTTGAAATACTGCAAAAAGAGTATTTCAAAACAGCTCTATCGAAAGGAAGGTTAAACTCTGTCAGTTGAATGCACACATCACATAGTAGTTTCTGGGAATGATTCTGTCTAGTTTTTGTATGAAGATATTCCCTTTTGAACCATAGGATTCAATGTGCTCTAAATATTCTCTTGGAAATTATACAAAAAGAGTGTTTCAAATCTGCTCTATCAAAAGGAATGTTCAGCTCTGTGAGTTGGATGCACACATCACAAAAAAGGTTCTGAGAATTCTTCTGTCTAGTTTTATATGAAGAAATCCTGTTTCCAATGAAGGCCTCATAGTGGTCCAAATATCCACTAGGAGATTCTACAAAAAGAGTGTTTCAAAACTGCTCTGTCAATTGGAATGTTCAACTCTGTGAGTTGAATGCGAACATCACAAAGCAGTTTCTGAGAATACTTCTGTTTCGTGTTTTATGTGAAGATATTTCCTTCTCTACCATAGACTTCAAAGCACTCAAAATACACACTTGCAAATTATACAAAAAGAGTGTTTCAAAACTCCTCTATCAAAAGAATGGTTAAACTCAGTGAGTTGAACGCACACATCACAGAGCAGTTTCTGGGAATGATTCTGTCTAGTGTTTATATGAGGATATTTACTTTTCTACCATAGGATTCAAAGCGTTCTAAATATCCACTTGGAAATTCTGCAAAAAGAGTGTTTCATATCTACTCTATCAAAATGAAGGTTCAACTGTGTGAGTTGAATGCACACATCACAAAGAACTTTCTGAGAATTCTTCTGTCAAGTTTAATATGAAGAAATCCCGTTTCTAACGAAGGCCTCAAAGAGGTCCAAATATCCACTTGCAGATTCTACAAAAAGAGTGTTTCAAAACTGCTACATAAAGAGGAATGTTCAACTCTGTGAGTTGAATGTAAACATCACAAAGCGGTTTCTGAGAATGCTTCTGTGTAGTTTTTATGTGAAGATATTTCCTTTTCTACAATAGGCCTCAAAGAGCTCTAAATATCCACTTGCAAACTCTACAAAAAGAGACATTCAAAACTGCTCTGTCAAAAGGAAGGTTCACCTCTGTGAGTTGAGTACAGACATCACAAAGAATTTTCAGAGAATACTTCTGTCTACTTTTTATGTGGAGATATTCCCGTTTCCAAAGAAAACCTCAAAGCGCTCCACATATCCAGATGGAGACTTTGAAAACAGAGTGTTTCAAAACTGCTCTATCAAAATAAAGGTTAAACTCTGTGAGTTGAACTCAAACGTCACAAACCAGTTTCTGGGAATGATTCTGTCAAGTCTTTATATGAAGATACTTCCTTTTCTACCATAGTATACAAAGTGCTCTAAATATCCACTTGGAAATTCTACAAAAAGAGTGTTTCACATCTGAACTATCAAAAGGAAGGTTCAACTCTGTCAGTTGAATGCACGCATCACAAAGAAGTTTCTGACAATTCTTCTGTCTGGTTTTATTTGAAGAAATCCCGTTTCCAACGAAGGTCTCAAAGAGGTCCAAATATCCACTTGCAGATTCTACAAAAAGAGTGTTTCAAAACTGCTGTATCAAGAGGAATGTTCAATTATGTTAGTTGAATGCGAACATCACAAAGTAGTTTCTGAGAATGCTTCTCTCTAGTTTTTATGTGAAGATATTCACTTTTGAACCATAGGCCTCAAAGCTCTCAAAATACACACTTGCAAATTCTGCAAAAAGAGTGTTTCAAAACTGCTCTATCAAAAGAAAGTTTCACCTCTGTGAGTTGAGTACAGACATCACAAAGACGTTTCTGAGAATACTTCTGTCTACTTTTTATGTGAAGATATTCAAGTTTATGATGAAAACCTCAAAGCACTCCAAATCTCAAGATGGAGAATTTTCAAAAAGAGTGTCTCAAAACTGCTCTATCAAAAGAAAGGTTAAACTCTGTGAGTTGAACACAAACATCACAAAGCAGTTTCTGGGAATCATTCTGATTATTTTTATATGAAGATATTTCCTTATCTACCATAGGGTTCAAAGCGATCTAAATATCAACTTGGAAATTCTACAAAAAGAGTGTTTCTAATCTGCTCAATCAAAAGGAACGTTCAACTCTGTGAGTTGAATGCACGCATCACAAAGAAGTTGCTGACAATTCTTCTGTCTAATTTTATTTGAAGAAATCCCGTTTCCAACGAAGGTCTCAGACTGGTCCAAATATCCACTTGCAGATTCTACAAAAAGAGTGTTTCAAAACTGCTCTATCAAGAGGAATGTTCAACTCTGTGAGTTGAATGCAAACATCACAAATTAGTTTCTGAGAATGCTTCTGTCTAGTTTTTATGGAAAGATATTTCCTTTTCTAACATAGGCCTCAAAGCGCTCTAAATACACACTTGCAAATTCTCCAAAAAGAGTGTTTCAAAACTGCTCTATAAAAAGAAAGGTTAAACTCAGTGAGTTGAATGCACACATCACAAAATATTTTCTGATAATGATTCCGTCTCGTTTTTATATGAAGATATTTCCTTTTCTACCACAGGCCTCAAAGCGCCCTAAATACCCATTTGCAAATTCTACAAAAAAAGTGTTTCAAGACTGCTCTATCAAGAGGAATGTTCAATTCTGTTAGTTGAATGCAAACATCACAAAGTAGTTTCTGAAAATGCTTCTGTCTAGTTTTTATGAGAAGATATTCCCTTTTCTACCATAAGCCTCAAAGCCCTCTAAATACACACTTGCAAATTCTACAAAAAGAGTGTTTCAATACTGCTCTATCAAAAGGAAGATTCACCTCTGTGAGTTGAGTACAGACATCACAAAGACGTTTCTCAGATCATTTCTGTCTACTTTTTATGTGAAGATATTCTAGTTTATAATGAAAACCTCAAAGCGCTCCAAATATCAAGATGCAGACATTTCATACGGAGTGTTTCAAAACTGCTATATCAAAAGAAAGGTTAAACACTGTGAGTGGAACCCAAACATTACAAAGTAGTTTCTGGGAATGATTCTCTCTAGTTTTTAAATGAAGGTATTTCCTTTTCTACCATAGGATTCAAAGAGCTCTAAATATCCACATGGAAATTCTAGAAAAAGTGTGTTTCAAATCTGCTCTATCAAAATGAAGGTTCAACTCTGTGAGTTGAATGCACACATCACAAAGAAGTTTCTGAGAATTCTTCTGTCTAGTTTTATATGAAGAAATCCCATTTCCAACGAAGCCCTCAATGCGGTCCAAATATCCACTTGCAGATCCTACAAAAAGGATGTTTCAAAACTGCTGTATAAAGAGGAATGTTCAACTCTGTAATTTGAATGCAAACATCAAAAAGTAGTTTCTGAGAATGCTTGTCTAGTTTTTATGTGAAGATATTTTCTTTCCTACTGCAGGCCTCAAAGCGCTCTAAATATCCTCTTGCAAACGCTACAAAAAGAGTTTTTCAAAACTGCTCTATCAAAAGGAAGTTTCACCTCTGAGAGCTGAGTACAGACATCACAAAGAAGTTTCTGAGAATACTTCTGTCTACTTTTTATGTGAAGAAATTCCCGTTTCCAAAAAAACCTCAAAGCGCTCCAAATATCCAGATGCAGACTTTACAAACAGAGTGTTCCAAAACTGCTCTATGAAAAGAAAGGTTAAACTCTGTGAGTTGAATGCACACATCACAAAGTAGCTTCTGAGAATGATTCTGTGTAGTTTTTATATGAAGATATATCCTTTTCAACCGTAGGCTTTGAAAAGCCCTCTAAATATCCACGTGGAAATTCTACAAAAAGAGTGTATCAAACTGCAATATCGTAAGGAAGGTTCAACTCTGTGAGTTGAAGGCACAAATCACAAATCTCTCTGAGAATTCTTCTGTCTAGTATTTATGTGAAGAAATATCCGTTACCAACGAAGACCTCAAAGAGGTCCAAATATCCACTTGAAGATTCTACAGAAAGAGTGTTTCAAAACTGCTCTATCAAAGGGAAGGTTGAACTCTGTGAGTTGAATGAAAACATCACAAAGTAGTTTCTGAGAATGCTTCTGTCTAGTTTTTATATGAAGATATTTCCTTTTCTACTGTAGGCCTCAAAGCCCTCTAAATACACACTTGCAAATGCTACAAAAAGAGCGTTTCAGAACTACTCTATTAAGAGGAAGGTTAAACTCGGCGTATAGAATGCACACATCACAAAGCAGTTTCTGAGAATGAATCTGGCTAGTTTTTCCATGAAGATATTTCCTTGCCTACCACAGGCCCAAAACCGCTCTAAATATCCACTTGGAATTTCTACAAAAAGATTATTTCAAAACTGCTCTATCAAAAGGAAGGTTCAACTCTGTGAGTAGAATGCACACATCAAAAAGAAGTTTCTGATAATTCCTCTGTCAAGTTTTATATGAAGAAATCACGTTTCCAATGAAGGCCTCCAAAAAGCCCAAATATTCACTTGCAGATTCTACAAAAAGAGTGTTTCAAAACAGCTCTATCAAAAGAAATTTTAAACTCTGTGAGTTGAATGCACACATCACAAAGTAGTTTCTGAGATTCCTTCTGTCTAGTTTTTCTATGAAATTATTGCCTTTTCTACCATAGGCATCAAACGGCACTAAATATCCGCTTGGAAATTCTAGAGAAAGTGAGCTTCAAAACTGCTGTATCGAAAAGAAGGTTCAACCCAGTGAGTTGAAAGCACACATGACAAAGAAGTTTCTGAGAATTCTTCTGTCTAGTTTTATATGAAGAAATCACGTTTCAAACGAAGGCTACAAAGGGGTCCAAATACCCAATTGCAGATTCTACAAAAAGAGTGTTTCAAAACTGCTCCATCAAGAGGAATGTTCAACTCTGTGGCTTGAATGCAAATATCGCAAAGTAGTTTCTGATAATGCCTCTGTGTAGTTTTTATGTGAAGGTTTTTCCTTTTCTACCATAGGCCTCAAAGCGCTGTAAATATGCACTTGCAAATTCCACAAAAATAGTGTTTCAAAACTGCTCTTTCAAAAGAAAGGTTAAATTCTGTGAGTTGACCGCACACATCACAAAATAGTTTCTGAGAATCACTCTATCTAGTTTTTCTATGAAGATATTGCCTTTTCTAACATAGGCCTCCAACGGCGCTAAATATCTACTTGGAAATTCTACAAAAAGAGAGTTTCAAAACTATTCTATCAAAAGGAAGGTTCAACTCTGTGAGTTGAAAGCACACATCACAAAGAAGTTTCTGAAAATTCTTCTGTCTAGTTTTATATGAAAAAATCTCGTTTCAAACGAAGGTAAACAAGAGTTCCAAATATCCACCTGCAGATTCTTCAAAAAGAGTGTTTCAAAACTGCTCTGTCAAGAGGAATGTTCATCTCTGTTAGTTTAATGCAAATATCACAAAGAAGTTTCTGACAATGCTTCTGTCTAGTATTTATGTGAAGATATTTCCATTTCTACCTTAGGCCAAGAAGCGCTCTAAATATATACTTGCAAATTTCACAAAAAGAGTGTTTCAAAACTGCTCTATCAAAAGAAGTGTTAAACTCTATAAGCTGAATGCACACATCAAAATGTAGTTTCTGAGAATTATTCTGTCTAGGTTTTCTATGAAGATATTTCCTTTTCTACCGTAGGCCACAAACCGCTCTAAATATCCGCTTGGAAATTCTGCAAAAGAATATTTGAAAACTTCTCTTTCGAAAGGAAGGTTCAACTCTGTGAGCTGAATGCACACATCACAAAGGAGTTTCTGAGAATTGTTCTATCAAGTTTTACATGAAGAAATCCCGTTTCCAACGAAGGCCCCAAAAAGGTCAAATGTTCACTTGCAGACTCTACAAAAAGTGTGTTTCAAAACTGTTCTGTCAAAAGAAAGGTTAAACTCTGCGAGTTTAACGCACACATCACAAAGTAGTTTCTGAAAATCATTGTCTCAAGTTTTTCTATGAAGATATTGGGTTTTCTACCATAGGCCTCAAACGGGGTTAAATATCCAACTGGAAATTCTACAAAAAGAGCGTTTCAAAGCTATTCTATCGAAACGATGGTTCAAATCTGTGAGTTGAAAGCACACATCACAAAGAAGATTCTGAGAATTCTTCTGTCAGTTTTATATAAAGGAATCACGTTTCAAATGAAGGTCCCAAAAGGTCCAAATATCCACTTGCAGATTCTTCGAAAAGAGTGTTTCAAAACTGCTCTATCAACAGGAATGTTCAACTCGGTGAGTTGAATGCAAACATCAAAACGTTTCTGACTATGCTTCCGTCTGGTTTTCATGTGAAGATATTTCCTTTTCTACCATAGGCCTCAAACCGTTCTAAATCTCCACTTGGAAATTCTACAAAAAGAGTATTTCAAAACTGCTCTACCGATAGGAAGGTTCAACGCTGTGAGTTGAATGCAGACATCACAAAGTAGTTTCTGATAATTCTTCTGTCAAATTTTATATGAAGAAATCCAGTTTCCAACGTAGGCCTCAAAAAATTCCAAATATTCACTTGCAGATTTTACAAAATAGTGTTTCAAAACTGCTCTATCAAGAGTAATGTTCAACTCTGTCAGTTGAATGCAAACAATACAAAGGAGTTTCTGAGAATGCTTCTGTCTAGTTTTTATGTGAAGATATTTCCTTTTCTACCGTTGGTCTCAAAGCGCTCTAAATATACACTTGCAAATTCCACAAAAACAGTGTTTCAAAACTGCTCTATCAAAGAACGGTTAAACTCTGTAAAGTGAATGCACACATCACAAAATAGTTTCTGATAATGATTCTGTCTAGTATTACTATGAAGATATTTACTTTTCTACAACAGACCCCAAACCGCTCTTAATATCCACTTGTAAATTCTGGAAAAAGTGTATTTCAAAGCTGCTCTATTGAAAGGAAGGTTCAACTCTGGGACTTGAATGCACACATCACATAGAAGTTTCTGAGAATTCTTCTGTCAACTTTTGTATGAAGAAATCCCGTTTCCAATGAAGGCTTCAAAAAAGTTCAAATATTCAGTTGTTGATTCTACAAAAAGAGTGTTTCAAAACTGCACTATCAAAGGAAAGGTTAAACTCTTTGAGTTGAACGCACACACCACAAAGTAGTTTCTGAGAATAATTCTGTCTAGTTTTTCTATGAAGTTATTTCATTTTATACCATAGGCCTCAAACGGCACTAAATATCCTCTTGGAAACTCTACAAAAAGATTGTTTCAAAACGGCTCTATCTAAAGGAAGGTTCATCTCTGTGAGTTGAAAGCAAACAACACAAAGTAGTTTCTGAGAATTCTACTGCCTAGTTTTATATGAAGAAATCACGTTTCAAACGAAGGCCACCAAGACGTCCAAATATCCACCTGCAGATTATACAAAAAGTTTGTTTCAAAAGTGCTCTATCAAAAGAAAGGTTAAACTCTGTAAGCTGAATGCACACATCAGTAAGTAGTTTCTGATAATGATTCTGTCTAGTTTTTCAGTGAAGATATTACTTTTTCTACCACAGGCCTCAATCCGCTCTAAATATCCACTTGGAAATACAACAAAAAGAGTATTTCAAAACTGCTCTATCGAAAGGAAGGTTCAACTCGGTGTGTTGAATGCGCACATCACAAAGAAGTTTCTGAGAATTCTTCTGTCAAGTTTATATGAAGAAAACCCGTTTCCAGGGAAGGCCTCAAAAAAGTCCAAATATTCACCCTCAGATTCTACAAAAAGAGTTTTTCAAACCTGCTCTATCTAAAGAAACGTTAAACAAGGTGGGTTGAACGCACACACCACAAAGTAGTTTCTGAGAATCATTATGTCTAGTTTTTCTATGAAGATATTGCCTTTTCTACCATAGGCCTCAAACGGCGCTAAATATCTACTTGGAAATTCTACAAAAAGAAAGTGTCAAAACTGATGTATCGAAAGGAAGGTTCAATTCTGTGAGTGGAAAGCACACATCACAAAGAAGTTGCTGGCAATTCTTCGGTCTAGTTTTATAGGAAGAAATCACGTTTCAAACGAAGGGCTCAAGAGATCTAAATATCCACTTGCAGATTCTACAGAAAGAGTGTTTCAAAACAGCTCTATCAAGAGGAATGTTCAGCTCTGTGAGTTGAATCCAAATATCACAAAGCAGTTTCTGACACTGCTTCTGTCTAGTTTTTATGTGAAGATATTTCCTTTTCTAACGTAGACCTCAATGTGCACTAATTGTACACTTGCAAATTCCACAAAAAGAGTGTTTTAAAACTGCTCTATCAATAGAAAAGTTAAACTCTGTGAGGTGAATGCACACATCACAAAGAAGTTTCTGAGAATGATTCTGTCTAGTTTTTCTATGAAGGTATTTTCTTTTCTATCATAGGCACCAACAGCTCTAAATATCCACTTGGAAATTCTACAAAAAGAGTATTTCTAAACTGTTATATAAAAAGGAAGGTTCAACTCCGTGAGCAGAATGCACACATCACAAAGAAGTTTCTGAGAATTCTACTGTCAAGTATTATATGAAGAAAACCGGTTTCCAACGAAGGCCACAAAAAAGTCCAAATATTCAATTGCAGGTTCTACAAAAAAAGTGCTTCAACACTGCTCTATCAAAAGAAAGGTTAAACTCTGTGAGTTGAACCCACACATCACAAAGTAGTTTCTGAGAATCATTCTGTCTTGTTTTTCTATGAAGATATTGCCTTTTCTACAATGGGCCTCAAACGGCGCTAAATATCCACTTGGAAATCCTACAAAAAGAGAGTTTCAAAACTGCTCTATCGAAAGGAAGGTTCAACTATGTGAGTTGAAAACACACATCACAAAGAAGTTTATGAGAATTCTTTGGTCTAGTATTATAGGAAGAAATCACCTTTCAAACGAAGGTCACAAGAGATCAAAATATCCACTTGCAGATTCTACAGAAAGAGCGTTTCAAAACAGGTCTATCAAGAGGAATGTTCAGCTCTGTGAGTTGAATCCAAATATCACAAAGCAGTTTCTGACACTGCTTCTGTCTAGTTTTTATGTGAAGATATTTCCTTTTCTAACGTAGACCTCAAAATGCAGAAATTATACATTGCAAATTCCACAAAAAGAGTGTTTCAAAACTGCTCTATCAATAGAAAGTTTAAACTCTGTGAGGTGAATGCACACATCACAAAGAAGTTTCTGAGAATAATTCTGTCTAGTTTTTCTATGAAGGTATTTCCTTTTCTATCATAGGCTGAAACATCTCCAAATATCCACCTGGAAATTCTACACAAAGAGAATTTGTAAACTGCTCTATAGAAAGGAAGGTTCAATTCTGTGAGCTGAATGCACACATCACAAAAGTTTCTGAGAATTCTTCTGTCAAGTTTTATGTGAAGAAAACCGGTTTCCACCGAAGGCCACAAAAAAGTCCAAATTTTCACTTGCAGGTTCTACAAAAAAAGTGCTTCAACACTGCTCTATCAAAAGAAAGGTTAAACTCTGTGAGTTGAACGCACACATCACAAAGAAGTTTCTGAGAATTCTTCTGTCTAGTTTTATGTGAAGAAATCCCGTTTCCAACAAAGGCCTCAAAGAGGTTCAAATAGCCACCGTCAGATTCTACAAAAAGAGTGTTTCAAAACTGCTCTATCAAGAGGAAATTTCAACTCCGTGAGTTGAATGCAAACATCACAAAGTAGTTTCTGAGAATGCTTCTGTCTAGTTTTTATATGAAGATATATCCTTTCCTACCATAGGCCTCAAAGAACTCTAAATATCCACTTGCAAACTACAAAAAGAGTGTTTCAAAACTGCTCTATCTGAGAATATTTCTGTGTACTTTTTCTGTGAAGATATATCGCTTTCTACCATAGGCCTCAAAGTGCTCTAAATACACACTTCCAAATTCAACAAAAAGAGTGTTTCAAAACTGCTCTATCAAAAGAAAGTTTATACTCAGTGAGTTGAATGCACACATTATAAAGTGCTTTCTGATTTTGATTTTCTCTAGTGCTTATATGATGATATTACCTTTTATACTATAGGCCTAAAAGCGTCCTAAATATCCACTTGGAAATTCTACAAAAAGAGTGTTTCAAAACTGCTCTTTTGAAAGGAACATTCAACTCTGTGAGTTGAATGCACACATCACAAAGAAGCTTCTGAGAATTCTTCTGTCTAGTTTTATGTGAAGAAATCACGTTTCAAACGAAGACCACAAAGAGGTCCAAATATCCACTTGCAGATCCTAGAAAAAGAGTGTTACAAACTGCTCTATCAAAAGGAATGTTTAACTCTGCGGGTTGAATGCATACATCACAAAGTAGTTTCTGAGAATGCTTCTGTCTAGTTTTTATGTGAAGATGTTTCCTTTTCTACCGTAGGCCTCAAAGCGCTCTAAATACCCACTTACAAACTCTACAAAAAGAGTGTTTCAAAACCGCTCTATCAAAAGGAAGGTTCACCTCTGTGAGTTGAGTACAGACATCACAAAGTAGTTTCTGAGAATACTTTGTCTCCTTTTTTTATGTGAAGATATTCCCGTTTCCAAAGAAAACCTCAAAGCGCTCCAAATATCCAGATGCAGACTTTACAAACACAGTGTTTGAAAACCGCTCTATCAAAAGAAGGGTTAAACTCTGTGAGTTGAAGGCACACATCACAAAGTAGTTTCTGGGAATAATTCTGTCTAGTTTTTGTATGAAGATATTCAGTTTTCTACCATAGGATTCAATGTGCTCTAAATATTCTCTTGGAAATTCTACAAAAAGAGTGTTTCAAATCTGCTCTATCAAAAGGAATGTTCAACTCTGTGAATTGGATGCACACATCACAAAGAAGTCTCTGAGAACTCTTCTGTCTAGTTTTATATGAAGAAATCCCGTTTACAACGAAGGCCTCATAGTGGTCCAAATATCCACTAGAAGATTCTGCAAAAAGAGTGTTTCAAAACTGCTCTGTCAAGTGGAAAGTTCAACTCTGTGAGTTGAATGCGAACATCACAAAGCAGTTTCTGAGAATACTTCTTTTTCGTTTTTATGTGAAGATATTTCCTTCTCTACCGTAGACTTCAAAGCACTCTAAATACACACTTGCAAATTATACAAAAAGACTGTTTCAAAACTCCTCTATCAAAATAAAGGTTATACTCAGTGAGTTGAATACACGCATCACTAAGTAGTTTCAGAGAATGCTTCTGTCTTGTTTTTATGTGAAGGTAATTCCTTTTCTAACATTGGCCTCAAAACGCTCTAAATATCCACTTGCAAACTCTACAAAAAGAGTGTTTCTAAACTGCTCTATCAAAAGGAATATTCACCTCTGTGAGTTGAGTACAGACATCACAAAGAAATTCCTGAGAATTCTTCTGTCTAGTTTTATATGAAGAAATCCCTTTTCCAACGAAGGCCTCTAAGAGGTCTAAATATCCACCTGCAGATTCTACAAAAAGAGTGTTTCAAAACGGCTCTATCAAGAGGAATGCTCAACTCTGTGAGTTGAATGCAAACACAACAAAGGAGTTTCTGAGAATGCTTCTGTGTAGTTTTTCTACGAAGATATTTCCTTTTCTACTATAGGCCTCAAAGCGCTCTAAATACACACTTGCAAGATCTACAAAAAGAGTGTTTCAAAACTGCTCTATTGAAAGGAACTTTCACATCTGCGAGTTGAATGCACACATCAAAAAGAAGTTTCTGAGAATTCTTCTGTCTAGTTTTTTTATGATGAAATTCCCGTTCCCACGAAAGCCTCAAAGAGGTCCAAGTATTCACTTGCAGATTCCACAAAAGCGGTGTTTCAAAACTGCTCTATCAAGAGGAATGTTCAACTCTGTGGGTTGAATGCAAATATCGCAAAGTAGTTACTGATAATGCTTCTGTCTAGCTCCTTTTCTACTTTAGGCCTCAAAGCGCTGTAAATATACACTTGCAAATTCCACAAAAACAGTGTATCAAAACTGCTCTATCGAAAGAAAGGTTAAACTCCGAGAGATGAACGCACACATCTGGAAGTGTGTGGAATGCAAATATCTCACAGTAGTTTCTGTAAATGCTTCTGTCTAGTTTTTAGGTGAAGATATTTCCTCTTCTACCGTAGGCCTCAAAGCACTCTAAATATACACTTGTAAATTCCATAAAAAGTGTGTTTCAAAACTGCTCTATCAAAAGAAAGTTTAAACTCTGTGAGTTGAACGCACACACCGCAAAGTAGTTTCTGAGAATCACTCCGTCTAGTTTTTCTATGAAGAAACTGCCTTTTCTACCTTAGGCCTCGAACGGATTTAAATATCCACTTGGAAATTCTACAAAAAGAGAGTTTCAAAACTGCTCTATTGAAAAGAATCTTCAAATCTGTGAGATGAAAGCACACATCACAAAGAAGATTCTCAGAATTCTTGTGTATAGTTTTATATGAAGTAATCACGTTTCAAAGGAAGGCCACAAAGAGGTCAAAATATTCACTTGAAGATTATACAAAAAGCGAGTTTCTAAACTGCTTTATCAAGGGCAATGTACAACTCTGTGAGTTGAATGCAAGTATCACAAAGTAGTTTCTGAAAATTCTTCTGTCTAGTTTTTATGTGAAGATATTTCCTTTTCCACCGTAGGCCTCAAAGTGGTCAAAATACACACTTGAAAACTTCACAAAAGATCGTTTCAAAACTGCTCTATCAAAGAAATATTAAACACTATAAGCTGAATGCACACATCACAAATTACTTTCCCAGAATGATTCTCTCTAGTTTTTCCAAGAAGATATTTCATTTTCTACCACAGGCCTCATACCGCTCCAAATTTCCACTTGGAAATTCTGCAAAAAGTGTATTTCAAAACTGTTCTATCGAAAGGAAGGTTCAACTCTGTGAGTTGAAAGCACACATCACAAAGAAGTTTCTGAGAATTCTTCTGTCCGTTTTATATGAAGAAAACCCGTTTCCAATGAAGGCCCCTAAAGTCCAAATATTCACTAGCAGATTGTACAAAAAGAGTGTTTCGAAACGGCTCTTTCAGAAGAAAGGTTAAACTGTGTGAGCAGAATGCCCACATCACAAATTAGTTTCAGAGAATGATTCTGTCTAGTTTTTATGTGAAGCTATTTCCTTTTCTGCCGTAGGCCTCAAAGCACTATAAATATACACTTGCAAATTCCACAAAAAGAGTGTTTCACAACTGCTCTAGTAAAAGAAACGTTAAACTGTGTAAGCTGAATGCACACGTCACAAATTAGTTTCTGAGAATGACTCTGTCTATTTTTTCTATGAAGGTATTTCCTTTTCTACCACAGGCCTGAAACCTCTCTATATGTCCACTTGGAAATGCTACAAAAATAGAACTGCAAAACTGCTCAATCAAAAGAAGGCTCAACACTGTGAGTTGAATTTGCACATCGCAAAGAAGATTCTGAGAATTCTTCTGTCAAGTTTTATATGAAGAAATCCCGTTTCCAAAGAAGGCCTCAAAAAATACAAATATTCACTTGCAGATTCTACAAAAACAGTGTTTCAAAACTGCTCTATCAAAATAAAGGTTAAACTCGGTGAGTTGAACCCACACATCACAAAGTAGTTTCTGAGAATTATTCTGTCTAGTTTTTCTATGAAGATATTGCCTTTTCTACCAAAGGCCTCAAACGGCGCTAAATATCCACTTGGAAATTCTACAAAAAGAGAGTTTCAAAACAGCTCAATCGAAAGGAAGTTTCAACTCTGTGAGTTGAAAGCACACATCACAAAGAAGTTTCTGAAAATTCTTCCGTTTAGATTTATATGAAGAAATCACGTTTCATACGAAGGCAACAAAGAGGTCGAAATATCCCCTTGCAGATTCTTCAAAAAGAGTGTTTCAAAACTGCTCTATCAAGAGGAATGTTCAAATCTGTGAGTTGAATGCGTTGAATGCAAATATCACAAAGTAGTTTCTGACGAAGCTTCTTTCAAGTTTTTATGTGAAGATATCTCCTTTTCCACCATAGGCCTCAAAGCTCTCTAAATATACACTTGCAAATTCCACAAAAAGAGTGTTTCAAGACTGCTCTATCAAAAGAAATGTTAAACTTTGTAAGCTGAATGCACACTTCACAAAGTAGTTTCAGAGAAGGATTCTGTCCGGTTTTCTATGAAGATATTTCCTTTTTTACCATAGGCCTCAAACCGCTCTAAATATCCACTTGGAATTTCAACAAAAAGAGTATTTCAAAGCTGGTCTATCGAAAGGAAAGTTCAACTTTGTGAGTTGAAGGCACACATCACAAAGAAGTTTCTGAAAATTCTTCTGTCCAATTTTATATGAAGAAATCCCGTTTCCAAAGAAGGCCTCAAGAAAGTCCAAATATTCACTTGCAGATTCTACAAAAAGAGTGTTTCAAAACTACTCTATTAAAAGAAAGTTTAAACTCTGTGAGTTGAACGCACACATCACAAAGTAGTTTCTGAGAATCATTCTGTCTTGTTTTTCTATGAAGTTATTGCCTTTTCTACCATAGGCCTCAAACGACACTAAATATATACTTGGAAATGCTACAAAAAGACTGTTTCAAAATTGCTCTATCGAAAGGAAGCTTCAACTCTGTGAGTTGAAAGCACACATCACAGGAAGTTTCTGAGAATACTTCTGTCTGGTTTTATAGGCAGAAATCATGTTTCAAAAGAAGTCCACAAAGAGGCGCAAATATCCACTTGCAGATTCTAAAATAAGACTGTTTCAAAACTGCTCTATGAAGAGGAATGTTCAACTCTGTGAGTTGAAGGTGAATATCACAAAGTAGTTCCTAACAATGCTTCTGTCTACTTTTTTTGTGAAGATATTTCCTTTTCTACTGTAGGCCTCAAAGCGCTCTAAATAAACACTTACATATCCCACAGAAAGAGAATTTGAAAACTGCTCTATCAAAAGAAAGATTAACTACTGTAAGCTGAATGCTTACATCAAAAAGGAGTTTCTCAGAATGATTCTGTCTAGTTTTTCTAGGAAGATATTTCCTTTTCAACCACATACCTAAAAACCGTTCCAAATATCCACTTGGATATTCTGCAAAAAGAGTATTTCAAAACTGTTCTATCAAAAGGAAGGTTCAACCCTGTCAGTTGAATGCACACATCACAAAGAAGTTTCCAAGAATTCTTCTATCAAGTTTTATATGACGAAATCCCGTTTCCAACGAAGGCCTCAAAAAAGTCCGAATATTCACTTGCAGATTCTATAAAAAGTGTGTTTCAAAATTGCTCTATGAACAGAAAGTTTAAACTCTGTGAGTTGAACGCACACATCACAATGTAGTTTCTGAGAATCATTCTGTCTAGTATATCTATGAAGATATTTCCTTTTCTACCATAGGCGCGAAACGACGCTAATTATCCACAGGGAAATTCTACAAAAAGAGAGTTTCAAAACTCCTCTATCGAAAGGAAGGTTCAACTCTGTGAGTTGAAAGCACACATCACAAAGGAGTTTCTGAGAATCATTCTGTCTACTTTTATATGAAGAAATCACGTTTTAAAAGAAGGCCAGAAAGAGGCCCAAATATCCACTTGCAGATTTTACAAAAAGAGTGTTACAAAACTGTTCTATCCAGAATAATTTTCAACTCTGTGAGTTGAATGCAAATATCAAAAAGTGGTTCCGGACAATGCATCTGTCCAGATTTTATGTGAAGATATTTCCTTTTCTACAGTAGGCCTCAAAACTCTCTAAATATACAGTTGCCAATTCCACAAAAAGTGTGTTTCAAAACTGTTCTATCAAAAGAAAGGTTAAAATCAGTAATCTGAATGCACACATCACAAATTAGTTTCTGACAATAATTCTGTCAGTTTTTGCATGAAGTTATTTCCTTTTCTACCACACGCCTCAAACCGCTGAAGATACCCACTTGGAAATTCTACAAAAAGAGTTATTCAAAACTGCTCTATCGAAAGGAAGGTTCAACTTTGTGAGTTGAATGCACACATCACAAAGAAGTTTCTGAGAATTCTTCTTTCAAGATTTATATGAAGAAATCCCATTTGCAACGAAGGCCCAAAAGAAATCGAAATATTCACAAGCAGTTTCTACAAAGAGAGTGTTTCAAATCTTCTCTATCAAAACAAAGGTTAAACTCTGTTAGTTGAACACTCACATCAAAAGGTAGTTTCTGAGAATCATTCTGTCTAACTTTCCTATGAAGATATTTCCTTTTCTACCATAGGCCTGAAAGGTCACTAAATATACCATTGGAAATTCTACAAAAAGAGAGTTTCAGAACTGCTCTATCGAAAGGAAGGTTCAACTCTGTGAGTTGAAAGCACACATAACAAAGAAGATTCTGAGAATTCTTCTCTGTAGTTTTATATGAAGAAATCACGTTTCAAAAGAAGGCCACAAAGAGGCCCAAATATCCACTTGCATACTCTACATAAATAGTGTTTCAAAACTGCTCTATCAAGAGGAATGTTCAAATCTGTGAGTTGAATGCAAATATCACAAAGTAGTTTCTGACAATGCTTCTGTCTAGTTTTTATGTGAAGATATTTCCTTTTCTACCGTAGGCCTCGAAGCACTCTAAATACACAATTGCAAATTCCACAAAAAGAGTGTTTCAAAACTACTCTATCAAAAGAAATGTTAAACTCTGTAAGGTGAATGCACACCTCACAACTAGTTTCTGACAATGATTCTGTCTAGTTTCTCTATGAAGATATTTCGTTTTCTACCACAGGTCTCAGACCGCTATAATTATACACTTGGAAATTCTACAAAAAGAGTAATTCAAAACTGCTCTATCGAAAGGAAGGTTAAACACTGTGATTTGAATGCACACATCACAAAGAAGTTTCTGAGAATTCCTCTTTCAACATTTATATGAAGAAAACCCGTTTGCAACGAAGGCCCCCAAGAATTCCTAATATTCACTAGCAGAACCTACAAAAAGGGTGTTTCAAATCTACTCTTTCAAAAGAAAGGTTAAACTCTGTGAGTTGAATGCACCCATCAGAAACCAATTTCTCAGAATCATTCTGTCTAATTTTCCTATGAGGATATTTTCTTTTTTTTTTTTTTTTTTTTGAGACGGAGTCTCGCTCTGTCGCCCAGGCTGGAGTGCAGTGGCGGGATCTCGGCTCACTGCAAGCTCCGCCTCCCGGGTTCACGCCATTCTCCTGCCTCAGCCTCCCAAGTAGCTGGGACTACAGGCACCCGCCACTACGCCCGGCTAATTTTTTGTATTTTTAGTAGAGACGGGGTTTCACCGTTTTAGCCGGGATGGTCTCGATCTCCTGACCTCGTGATCCGCCTGCCTCGGCCTCCCAAAGTGCTGGGATTACAGGCGTGAGCCACCGCGCCCGGCCAGGATATTTTCTTTTTAACCATAGGCCTCAAACGGCGATAGATATCCACTTGGAAATTCTACAAAAAGAGAGTTTCAAAACTGCTCTATCGAAAGGAAGGTTCAACTTTGTGAGTTGAAAGCACACATCACAAAGAAGTTTCTGAGAATTCTTCTGTCTAGTTTTATATGAAGAAATCACATTTCAAACGAAGGGCACAAAGAGGTCCAAATATCCACATGCAGATTCTACAATAGGAGTGTTTCAAAACTGCTCTATCAGGAGGAATTGTCAATTCTGTGAGATGAATACAAATATCACAAATTAGTTTCTGACAATGCTT
Source organism: Homo sapiens (assembly GCF_000001405.40). Classification (NCBI taxonomy): domain Eukaryota; kingdom Metazoa; phylum Chordata; class Mammalia; order Primates; family Hominidae; genus Homo; species Homo sapiens. The sequence continues at coordinate 80,241 of NW_012132917.1, forward strand.
CTGTCAAGTTTTTATGGGAAGATATTTCCTTTTCTACCGTAGACCTCAAAGCACTCTAAATATACAGTTGCAAATTACACACAAAGAGTATTTCAGAACTGCTCTATCAAAAGATAGGTGAAACTCTGTAAGTTGAATGCCACTATCACAAAGTAGTTTCTGACAATGCTTCTGTCTAGTTTTTATGTGAAGATATTTCCTTATCTACCGTAGGCCTGAAAGCGATCTAAATATACACTTGCAAATTCCACAAAAAGAGTGTTTCAAAACTGCTCTATCAAAAGAAAGGTTAAACTCTGTAAGCTGAATGCACACATCACAAAGCAGTTTCTGATAATTTTTCTAAACTCTGTAAGCTGAATGCACACATCACAAAGCAGTTTCTGATAATTTTTCTATCTATCTAGTTTTTTTATGAAGATATTTCCTTTTCTACCACAGGCGACAAACCGCTATAAATATCCACTTGGAAATTCTATAAAAACAGTCTTTCAAAACTGCTCTATCGAAAGGAAGATTCATCCCTTTTAGTTGAACTCACACAACACAATGAACTTTCTGAAAATTCTTATGTCAAGTTTTTTATGAAGAAATCCCGTTTCAAAAGAAGGCCTCAAAATATACAAATATTAATTTGCAGATTCTACAAAAAGAGTGTTTCAAAACTGCTCTATAAAGAAGAATGTTCAACTCTGGGAGTTGAATGCAAATATCAAAATGTAGTTTCTGACAATGCCTCTGTCTAGTTTTATGTGAAGATAATTCCTTTTCTACCATAGGCCTCAAAGCCCTCTCAATATAAACTTGCAAATTCCACAAAAAGAGTGTTCAAAACTGCTCTGTCAAGTGAAAGGTTAAACTCTGTAACCTGAATGCCAACATCACAAATTAGTTTCTGAGAATGATTCTGTCCAATTTTTCTATCCACTTGGAAATTCTACAATAAGAGAGTTTCATAACTGCTCTAAGGATAGGAAGGTTCAACTCTGTGTGTTGGAAGCACACATCAGAAAGAAGTTTCTGAGAATTCTTCTATCAACTTTTATATGAAGAAATCCCGTTTCCAACGAAGGCCACAAAATTCCAAATATTCACTTGCAGATCCTACAAATAGAGTGCTTCAAAACTGCTCTACCAAAAGAAAGGTTAAACTCTTTGAGTTGAACGCACACACCACAAAGTAGTTTCTGAGAATCATTGTGTCTTGTTTCTCAAAGAAGATATTGTCTTTTCTACCATAGGCCTCAAACGGAGTGAAATATCCACTTGGAAATTCTACAAAATGTGAATCTCAAAACTGCTCATTCAAAAGGAAGTTTCAACTCTGTGAGTTGAAAGGACACATCACAAAGAAGTTTCTTAGAATTCTTCTATCGAGTTTTATTTGAAGAAATCACGTTTCAAACGAAGACCCCAAAGAGGTCCAAATATCCACTTGCAGATTCTACAAAAAGAGTGTTTCAAAACTGCTCTATCAAGAGGAATGTTCACCTGTGTGAGTTGAATGCAAATATCACAAAGTAGTTTCTGACATTTCTTCTGTCTAGTTTTTAGGTGAAGATATTTCCTTTTCTACCGTAGGCCTCAAAGCGCTCTAAATATATACTTGCAAATTCCACAAAAAGAGTGCTTCAACACTGCTCTACAAAAGAAAGGGTAATCTCTGTATGCTGAATGAACACACCGCAAAATGTTTTGAGAATGATTCTGTCTAGTTTTTCTATGAAGTTATATCCTTTTCTTCCACAGGCCTCAAACCGCTCTAAATACTCACTTGGAAATTTTACAAAAAGAGTATTTCAAAAGTGCTCTATCGAAACGAAGGTTCAACTCTGTGAGTTAAAAGCACACATCACAAAGAAGATTCTGAGAATTCTCCTGTCACGTTTTATATGAAGAAATCTCGTTTCCAACGAAGGCCCCCAAAACGTCCAAATATTCGTTGCGGATTCTACAAAAAGTGTTTCAAAACTGCTCTATCAAAAGAAAGGTTAAAATCTGTGAGTTGAACTCACACATCACAAAGTAGTTTCTGAGAATCATTCTGTCAAATTTTTCTATGAAGATATTGCCTTTTCTAACATAGGCCTCAAACGGCGGCAAATATCCACTTGGAAATTCTACAAAAAGAGAGTTTCAAAACTGCTCTATCGAAAGGAAGGTTCAACTCTGTGAGTTGAAAGCACACATCACAAAGAAGTTCCTGAGAATTCTTCTGTCTATTTTTATATGAAGAAATCACGTTTCAAATGAAGACCTCAAAGAGGTCCAAATGTCCACTTGCAGATTCTACTAAAAGAGTGTTTCAAAACTGCTCTATCAAGAGGAATGTTCAACTCTGTGAGTTGAATGCAAATATCACAAAGTAGTTTCTGACAATGCTTCTGTCTAGTTTTTATGTGAAGATATATCCTTTTCTGCCGTAGGCCTCAAGGAGCTCTAAATATACACTTGCAAATTCCACAAAAAAAGTTTTTTTCAAAACTGCTCTATCAAAAGAAAGGTTAAACTCCGTAACCCGAATGCACACATCACAAAGTAGTTTCTGAGAATGATTCTGTCTAGATTTTCTATGAAGATATTTCCTTTTCTACCATAGGCCTCAAACCCCTCTAAATATCCACTTGGAAATTCAGCAAAAAGATTATTTCAAACCTGCTCTATCGAAAAAAAGGTTCAACACTGTGAGTTGAATGCAGAAATCCCAAAGAAGTTTCTGAGAATTCTTCTGTCACGTTTTAAATGAAGAAATCTCGTTTCCAACGGAGGCCCCAAAAAAGTCCAAATATTCCATTGCAGATTCTACAAAAAGAGTGTTTCAAAACTGCTCTATCAAAAGAAAAGTTAAACTCTGTGAGTTGAACGCACACATGGCAAAGTAGTTTCTGAGAATCATTCTGTCTAGTTTTTCTATGAAGATATTGCCTTTTCTACCATAGGCCTCAAACAGCACTAAATATCCACTTGGAAATACTACAAAAACAGAGTTTCAAAACTGCTCTATCAAAAGAAAGGTTCAACTCTGTGAGTTGAAAGCACACATCACAAAGTAGTTTCTTAGAATTCTTCTGTGTAGTTTTATACAAAGAAATCACGTTTCTAACGAATGCCACAAAGAGGTCTAAATATCCACTCGCAGATACTACAAAAATAGTGTTTCAAAACTGCTCTATCAAAAGAAAAGTTAAACTCTGTGAGTTGAATGCACTCATCTCAAAGAAGTTTCTGAGAATCCTTCTGTCTAGTTTTTCTATGAAGATATTTTCTGTTCTACCATAGGCCTCAAACCACGCTAAATATCTATCCAATTGGAAATTTTACAAAAAGACAGTTTCAAAATTGCTCTATCGATAGGAAGCTTCAAATCTGTGAGTTGAAAGCACACAATACAAAGAAGTTTCTGATAATTTTTCTGTCTAGTTTTATATGAATAAATCACATTTCAAACGAAGGCCACAAAGAGGTCCAAATATCCACCTGCAGATTCTACAAAAAGGGTGTTTCAAAACTGCTCTATCAAGAGGAATGCTCAACTCTGTGAGTTAAATGCAAATATCACAAAGCAGTTTCTGACAAAGCTTCTGTCTAGTTTCTATGTGAAGATATTTCTTTTTCTACTGTAGGCCTCAAAGCGCCCTAAATGAACAAAAATTCCACAGAAAGAGTGTTTCAAAACTGCTCTATCAAAAGAAAGGTTAAATTCTATAAGCTCAATGCTCACATCAAAAAGCAGTTTCTCACAATGATTCTGTCCAGTTTTTCTAAGAAGATATTTCCTTTTCTACGACAGACCTAAACACCTCTCCAAATATCCACTTGGATATTTTGCAAAAAGAGTATTTCAAAACTTCTCTATAGAAAGGAAGGTTCAACTCTGTGAGTTGAATGCACACATCAGAAAGAAGTTTCTGAGAATTTTTCTGTCAAGTTTTATATGAAGAAATGCAGTTTCAAACGAAGGCCTCAAAAAAGTCAAAAATATTCACTTGCAGATTCGACAAAAAGAGTGTATCAAAACTGCTCTATCAACAGAAAGTTTAAACTCGGTGAGTTGAACCCACATATCACAAATTAGTTTCTGAGCATCATTCGGTCTAGTATTTCTATTAAGATATTTCCTTTATAACATAGGCCTGAAATGGCACTCAATATCCACTTCGAAATCCTACAAAATGTGAGTTTCAAAATCGCTCTATTAAAAGGAAAGTTCAATTCTGTGAGTTGAAAGCACACAGCACAAAGAAGTTTCTGAGAATTATTCTGTCTAGTTTTATATGAAGAAATGACTTTTCAAAAGAAGGCTACAAAGAGGCCCAAATATCCACTTGCAGATTCTACATAAATAGTGTTTCAAAACTGCTCTATCAAGAGGAATGTTCAACTCTGTGAGTTGAAAGCACACATCACAAAGATGTTTCTTAGAATTCTTCTGTGAAGTTTTATACGAAGAAATCATGTTTCTAACGAAAGTGACAAAGAGTTCTAAATATACACTCACAGATACTACAAAAAGGCTGTTTCAAAACAGCTCTATCAAAAGAAAGGTTAAACTCTGTGAGTTGAACGCACTCATCACAAAGTAGTTTCTGAGAATCATTCTGTCTAGTTTTTATTTGAAGATATTTCCTTTTCTACCATAGGCCTCAAACCGCTCTAAATATCCACTTGGAAAATCTACAAAAAGAGTATTTCAAAACTGCTCTAATGAAAGGACGGTTCAGCACTGTGAGTTGAAAGCACACATCACAAATAAGTTTCGGAGAATTCTTCTGTCTAGTTTTATATGAAGAAATCACGTTTCAAACAAAGATCACAGAGAGTTTCAATTATCTACTTGCAGATTCTTCAAAAGAGTTTTTCAAAACTGCTCTATCAAGAGGAAAGTTCAAATCTGTTAGTTGAATGCAAATATCACAAAGTTGTTTCTGACAATACTTCTATCTAGTTTTATGTGAAGATATTTCCTTTTCTATCGTATGCCTCAAAGCACTCTAAATACACACTTGCAAATTCCACAAAAAGATTGCTTCAAAAGTGCTCTATCAAAAAAATATTAAACTCTGTAAGCTGAATTCACACTGCACTAAGTTGTCTCTGAGAGTGATTCTGCCTAGTTTTTTATGAAGTTATTTCCTTTTCTACCAAGGGCCTCAAACCGCTCTAAATATCCACTTGGAAATTCTACGAAAATAATATTTAAAAACTGCTCTATTGCAAGGAAGGTTCAACACTGTGAGTTGAATGCAAACATCACAAAGAAGTTTCTAAGAGTTCTTCTGTCAGGTTTTATATGAAGAAATCCCGTTTCCAAAGAGGGCCTCACAAAAGTCCAAATATTCACTTGCAGATACTACAAAAAGAGTGTTTCAAAAATGCTCTATCAAAAGAAAGGTTAAACCCTGTGAGTTGAACGCTCACATCACAAAATAGTTTCTGAGAATGATTCTGTCTAGTATTCTATGTAGATTGTGCCTTTTCTAACATAGGCCCCAAACGGCGCTAAATATCCACTTAGAAATTCCACAAAAAGATAGTTTCAAAACTGCTCTACGAAAGGAAGGTTGAACACTGTGAATTGAAAGCAAACATCACAAAGAAGTTTCTGAGAATTCTTCTGTCTAGTTTTACATGAAGAAATCACGTTTCAAAAGAAGACCACAAAGAACTCCAAATATCCACTTGCAGATTCTACAAAAAGAGTGTTTCAAAACTGCTCTATCAAGAGGAACGTTCAACTCTGTGAGTTGAATGCAAATATCAAAAAGAAGTTTCTCACAATGCTTCTGTCTAGTTTTTATGTGAAGATATTTCCTTTTCTGCCGTAGGCCTCAAAGCTCTCTAAATATCGAGTTGGAAATACAACAAAAAGGGAATTTCAAAACTGCTCTATGGAAAGGAAGGTTCAATTCTGTGAGTTGAATGCACAAATCAGAAAGAAGTTTCTGAGAATTCTTCTGTAAAGTTTAATATGAAGAAAACCCGTTTCCAACGAAGGCCTCAAAAAAGTCCAAATGTTCTCCTGCAGTTTCTACAAAAAGGGTGCTTCAAAACTGCACTATCAAAAGAAAGGTTAAACTCTGTGAATTGAATGCACACATCACAAAGTAGTTTCTGAAAATCATTCTGTCTAGTTTTTCTATGAAGACTTTGATTTTTCTACCATAGGCCACAAACGGTGCTAAATACCCACTTGGAAAAGCTACAAAAAGACAGTTTCAAAACTGCTCCATCGAAAGGAAGGTTCAAGTCTGTGAGTTCAAAGCATACATCACAAAGAAGTTTCTGAGAATTCTTCTGTCTAGTTTTATATGAAGAAATCACATTTCAAACGAAGACCACAAAGAGGTCGAAATATGCACTCGCAGATTCTACAAAAAGTGTATTTCAAAACTGTCCTATCGAGAGAAATGTTCAACTCTGTGAGTTGAATGCAAATATCACAGAGTACTTCCTGACAATGAATCTGTCTAGTTTTTATGTGAAGATATTTCCTTTTCTACCATAGGCCTCAAAGCGCTCTAAATATACACTTGCAAATTCTACAAAAAGAGTGTTTCAAAACTGCTCTTATCAAAGGTAAGATTAAACTCTGTAAGCTGAATACACACATCACAAAGTAGTTTCTGAGAATGATTCTGTCTAGTTTTTCTATGAAGATATTTCCATCTCTACTAGAGGCCTCAAACCGCTCTAAATATCTACTTGGAAATTCTACAAAAAGATTATTTCAAAACTGCTCTAACGAAAGGAAGCTACATCACTGTGTGTGGAATGCACAGATCACAAAGAAGTTTCTGAGAATTCTTGTGTCAAGTTTCATATGAAGAAATCCCGTTTACAAAGAAGGTCTCAAAAAAGTCCAAATATTCACTAGGAGATCTTACAAGAAGAGTGTTTCACAACTGCTCTATGAAAAGAAAGATTAAACTCCGTGGGTTGATCGCACACATCACAAAGTAGTTTCTGCGAATCATTCTTTCTAATTTTCCTATGAAGATATTTCCTTTTCTACCTTAGGCCAGAAACGGTGCTAAATATCCACTTGGAATTTCTACAAAAAGAGAGTTTTGAAACTGCTCTATCGAAAGGAAAGTTCAACTCTGAGAGTTGAAAGCACATATCACAAAGAAGTTTCTGAGAATCCTTCTGTTTAGTTTTATATGAAGAAATCACGTTTCAAACGAAGCCACAAATGGGTCAAAATATCCACTTGCAGATTTTACAAAAAGAGTGTTTCAAAACTGCTCCATCAAAAGGAATGTTCAACTCTGTGAGTTGAATGAAAATATCACAAAGTAGTCTCTGACAATGCTTCTGTCTAGTTTTTATGTGAAGATATCTCCTTTTCTACCGTAGGTCTCGCAGCACTCTAAATATACACTTGCAAATTCCACAAAAAGAGTGTTTCAAAACTGCTCTATCAAAAGAAAGGTTAAATTCTGTATGCTGAATGCAAACATCACAAAGTAGTTTCTGAGAATGATTCTATCTAGTTTTTCTATTAATATATTTCCTTTTCCACCACAGGCCTCAAACCGCTCTAAATATCCACTTGGAAAATCTACAAAAAGAGTATTTCAAAACTGCTCTATCGAAATGAAGGTACAACTCTGTGAGTTGAATGCACACATCACAAATAGGTTTCTGAGAATTATTCAGTCAAGTTTCATATGAAGAAAACCCGTTTCCAAAAAGGCCTCAAAAAAGTCCAAATATTCACTTGCAGAGTCTACAAAAAGAGGGTTTCAAACCTGGTCTATCGAAAGAAAGTTTAAACTCTGCGAGTTGAACACACACACCACAAAGTAGTTTCTGAGAATTATTCTGTCTGGTTTTTCGATGAAGATATTGCCTTTTCTACCATAGGCCCCACATGGCGCTAAATATCCCCTTGGAAATTCTACAAAAAGAGAGTTTCAAAACTGCTCTATCGAAAGGAAGGTTCAACTCTGCGAGTTGAAAGCGCACATCAAAAAGAAGTTTCTGAGAATTCTTCTGTCTTGTTTTATAAGAAGAAAATACATTTCACACGAAGGCCACGTAGAGATCCAAATATCCACTGGCAGATTCTACAAAAAGAGTGTTCCAAAACTGCTCTATGAAGAGGAATGTTCAACTCTGTGATTTGAATGCAAATATCCCAAACTAGTTTCTGATAATGCTTCTGTGTAATTTTTATGTGAAGTTATTTCCTTTTCTACCATAGGCCTCAAAGCGCTCTAAATATACACTTGCAAATTCCACAAAAAGAGTATTTCAAAACTGCTCTATAAAAAGAAAGGTTAATCACTCTAAGCTGAATGCATACATCACAAAGGAGGTTCTGAGAATGATTCTGTATAGTTTTTCTATGAAGATATTTCCTTTTCTACCACAGGCCACAAACCGCTCTGAATATCCACTTGGAATGTCTACAAAAAGATTATTTCAAAACTGCTCTATCGAAATGAAATTTCAACTCTGGGATCTAAATGCACAAATCACAAGAAAGTTTCTGAGAATTCCTCTCTCAAGTTTTTTATGAAGAAATCCCGTTTCCAACGAAGGCCTCAAAAAAGTCCAAATACTCACTAGCAGATTCTACAAAAAGAGTGTTTCAAAACTACTCTATCAAAAGAAAGGTTAAGATCTTTGAATTGGACGCACACACCACAAAGTCGTTTCTGAGAATCATTCTGTCTGGTTTTTCTATGAAATTATTGTCTTTTCTACCAGAGGCCTCAAACGGTGCTAAATATCCACTTGGAAATTCTACAAAAGGAGAGCTTCAACACTGCAGTATCGAAAGGAAGGTTCAACTCTGTGAGTTGAAAGCACACATCCCAAAGAGGTTTCTGAGAATTCTTCTGTCTAGTTTTATATGAAGAAATCACGTTTCAAAAGATGGACACAAAGAGGTCCAATTATCCACTTACACATTCTACAAAAAGATTGTTTCAAAACTGCCCTATCAAGGGGAATGTTCAGCTCTGTGAGTGAATGCAAATATCACAAAGTAGTTTCTGACAATGCTTCTGTCTAGTTTTTATGTGAAGATATTTCCTTTTCTACCGTAGGCCTCAAAGCGCTCTAAATATACAATTGCAAATTCCACAAAAAGAGGGTTTCAAAACTGCTGTATCAAAATAAATGTTAAACTCTCTGTGTTGAACGCACACACCACAAAGTAGTTTCTGAGAAACATTCTGTCTAGTTTTTCAATGAGGACATTGCTTTTTCTAACTTAGGCGTCAAATGGCGCTAAATATCCACTTGGAAATTCTACAAAAAGAGGGTTTCAAAACTGCTCTATCGAAAGGAATGTTCAATTCTGTGAGTTGAAAGCATACATCACAAAGAAGTTTCTGAGAATTCTTCTGTCTAGTTTTATGTGAAGAAATCGTGTTTCAAACGAAGGCCACAAAGAGGTCCAAATACCCACTTGCAGATTCTACTAAAAGAGTGTTTCAAAACTGCTCTATCAAGAGGAATGTTCAACTCTGTGAGTTGAATGCAAATATCACAAATTAGTTTCTAACAATGCTTCTGTCTAGTTTTTATGTGAAGATATTTCCTTTTCTACTGTGGGCCTCAAAGCGCTCTAAATATACACTTGCAGATTCCGCAAAAAGTGTGTTTTAAAACTGCCCTATCAAAAGAAAGGTTGAACTCTGTAAGCTGAGAGTTCACACATCAGGAAGTACTTTCTGAGAATGATTCTCTCTAGTTTTTCTATGAAGATATTTCCTTTTCTACCACAGTCCTCAAACCGCTGTAAATATCCACTTGGAAACCCGACAAAAAGAGTATTTCAAACTGCTCTACCGAAAGGAACGTTCAACCCCGTGAGTTGAATGCACACATCACAAATAAGTTTCTGAGAATTCTTCTGTCAAGTTTTATATGAAGAAATCCCGTTTAAAAAGAAGGCCTCAAAACAGTCCAAATATTCCCTTGCAGATTCTGCAAAAAGAGTGTTTCTAAACTGATCTATCAAAAGAAATGTTAAAATCTGTGAGTTGAACGCACACACCACAAAGTAGTTTCTGAGAATCATTCTATTTAGTTGTTCTAGGAAATTATTGCCTTTTCTACCATAGGCCGCAAACGACGTTAATATCCTCTTGGAAATACCTCAAAAAGAGAGTTTAAAAATTGCTGCATCGAAAGGAAGGTTCAACTCTGTGAGTTGAAAGTACACATCTCAAAGAAGTTTCTGAGAATTCTTCTGTCTAGTTTTATATGAAGAAATCACGTTTCAAACGATGGCCACAAAGAGATCCAATCATCCACTGGGAGATTCTACCAACATTACATAATGGTAAAGGGATCAATTCAACAAGAAGAGCTAACTATCCTAAATATATATGCACCCTATGCAGGAGCACCCAGATTCATAAAGCAAGTCCTGAGTGACCTACAAAGAGACTTAGACTCCCACACATTAATAATGGGAGACTTTAACACCCCACTGTCAACATTAGACAGATCAACGAGAGAGAAAGTCAACAAGGATACCCAGGAATTGAACTCAGCTCTGCACCAAGCGGACCTAACAGACATCTACAGAACTCTCCACACCAAATCAACAGAATATACATTTTTTTCAGCACCACACCACACCTATTCCAAAATTGACCACATAGTTGGAAGTAAAGCTCTCCTCAGCAAATATAAAAGAACAGAGATTATAACAAACTATCTCTCAGACCACAGTGCAATCAAACTAGTACTCATGGTTAAGAATCTCACTCAAAACCGCTCAACTACATGGAAACTGAACAACCTGCTCCTGAATGACTACTGGATACATAACAAAATGAAGGCAGAAATAAAGATGTTCTTTGAAACCAACGAGAACAAAGACACAACATACCAGAATCTCTGGGACGCATCCACAGCAGTGTGTAAAGGGAAATTTATAGCACTAAATGCCCACAAGAGAAAGCAGGAAAGATCCAAAATTGACACCCTAACATCACAATTAAAAGAACTAGAAAAGCAAGAGCAAACACATTCAAAAGCTAGCAGAAGGCAAGAAATAACTAAAATCAGAGCAGAACTGAAGGAAATAGAGACACAAAAAACCCTTCAAAAATTAATGTATCCAGGAGCTGGTTTTTTGAAAGGATCAACAAAATTGATAGACCGCTAGCAAGACTAATAAAGAAAAAAAGAGAGAAGAATCAAATAGACACAATTAAAAAATTGTAAAGGGGATATCACCACCGATCCCACAGAAATACAAACTACCATCAGAGAATACTACAAACACCTCTACGCAAATAAACTAGAAAATCTAGAAGAAATGGATAAATTCCTTGACACATACACTCTCCCAAGACTAAACCAGGAAGAAGTTGAATCTCTTAATAGACCAATAACAGGAGCTGAAATTGTGGCAATAATCAATAGCTTACCAACCAAAAAGAGTCCAGGACCAGAAGGATTCACAGTCGAATTCTATCAGAGGTACAAGGAGGACCTGGTACCATTCCTTCTGAAACTATTCCAATCAATAGAAAAAGAGGGAATCCTCCCTAACTCATTTTATGAGGCCAGCATCATTCTGATACCAAAGCCGGGCAGAGACGCAACAAAAAAAGAGAATTTTAGACCAATATCCTTGATGAACATTGATGCAAAAATCCTCAATAAAATACTGGCAAAACAAATCCAGCAGCACATCAAAAAGCTTATCCACCATGATCAAGTGGGCTTCATCCCTGGGATGCAAGGCTGGTTCAATATATGCAAATCAATAAATGTAATCCAGCATATAAACAGAGCCAGAGACAAAAAACACATGATTATCTCAATAGATGCAGAAAAAGCCTTTGACAAAATTCAACAACGCTTCATGCTAAAAACTCTCAAGAAATTAGGTATTGATGGGACGTAATTCAAAATCATAAGAGCTATCTATGACAAACCCACAGCCAATATCATACTGAATGGGCAAAAACTGGAAGCATTCCCTTTGAAAACTGGCACAAGACAGGGATGTCCTCTCTCACCACTCCTATTCAACATAGTGTTAGAAGTTCTGGCCAGGCAATTAGGCAGGAGAAGGAAATAAAAGGTATTCAATTAGGAAAAGAGGAAGTCAAATTGTCGCTGTTTGCAGACGACATGATTGTAAATCTAGAAAACCCCATTGTCTCAGCCCAAAATCTCCTTAAGCTGATAAGCAACTTCAGCAAAGTCACAGGATACAAAATCAATGTACAAAAATCACAAGCATTCTTATACACCAATAACAGACAAACAGAGAGCCAAATCATGAGTGAACTCCCATTCACAATTGCTTCAAAGAGAATAAAATACCTAGGAATCCAACTTAAAAGGGATGTGAAGGATCTCTTCAAGGAGAACTACAAACCACTGCTCAAGGAAATAAAAGAAGATACAAACAAATGAAGAACATTCCATGCTCATGGGTAGGAAGAATCAATATCGTGAAAATGGCCATACTGCCCAAGGTAATTTACAGATTCAATGCCATCCCCATCAAGCTACCAATGACTTTTTTCACAGAATTGGAAAAAACAACTTTAAAGTTCATATGGAACCAAAAAAGAGCCCGCATCGCCAAGGCAATCCTAAACCAAAAGACTGTTTCATAACTGCCCTATCAATGGGAATGTTTAGCTTTTGAGTGAATGCAAATATCACAAAGTATTTTCTGACAATGTTTCTCTCTAGTTTTTATGTGAAGGTATTTCCTTTTCTGCCTTAGGCCTCAAAGCGCTCTAAATATACACTTGCAAATTCCACAAAAAGAGAGTTTCAAAACTGCTCTATCAAAAGAAAGGTTAAAGTCTGTGAGTTGAACGCACACACCACAAAGTAGTTTCTGAGAATTCTTCTGTCTCATTTTATATGAAAAAATGACGTTTCAAAAGAAGGCCACAAAGAGTTACAAATATCCACTTGCAGATTCTACAAAAAGAGTGTTTCAAAACTGCTCTATCACGAGGAATGTTCAACTCTGTTAGTTGAATGCAAATATCGCAAAGTAGTTTCTGACAATACTTCTGTCTAGTTTTTACATGAAGACATTTCCTTTTCTACCGTATGCCTCATAGCGCTCTAAATATACACTCGGAAATTCCACAAAAAGAATGTTTCAAAACTGGTCCACGAAAAGAAAGGTTGAACTCTGTAAGCTGAATGCACACATCACAAAGAAATTTCTGAGAATGATTCTGTCTAGAGTTTCTTTGAAGATATTTCCTTTTCTACTATGGGCCTCAAAACGCTCTAAATATACACTAGGAAATTCTAAAAAAAGAGTATTTAAAAACTGCTCTATCGAAGGGAAGGTTCAAACCTGTGTGTTCAATGCACATATTACAAAGATGTTTCTGAGAATTCTTCTGTCAAATTTTATATGAAGAAATCCCGCATCCAAAGAAGGCCTCAAGAAAGTCCAAATATTCACTTGCAGATTCTACAAACAGAGTGTTTCAAAACTGTTCTATCAAAAGAAAATTTAAATTCAGTGAGTTGAACGCACAAATCACAAAGTAGTTTCTGAGAATGATTCTGTTTAGTTTTTCTATGAAGATATTTCCTTATTTACCTTAGGCCTCAAACTGCTCTAAATATCAACTTGGAAATACTGCAATAAGAGAGTTTCAAAACTGCTCTATCGAAAGGAAGGTTCAACACTGAGAGTTGAAAGCACACTTCAGAAATAAGTTTCTGAGAAATCTTCTGTCTAGTTTTAAATGAAGAAATCACGTTTCAAAAAAAGGTCACAAAGAGGTCCAAATATCCACCAGCAGATTCTACAAAAAGAGTGTTTCAAAACTGGTCTATCAAGAGGAATGTTCAACTCTGTGTGTTGAATGCAAATATCACAAAATAGTTTATGACAATGCTTCTGTCTAATATTTAGGTGAAGATATTTCCTTTTCTACCATAGGCTTCAAAGCGCTCTAAATGTACATTTGCAAATTCCACAAAATAGTGTTTCACAACTGCTCTATCAAAAGGAAGGTTAACAGCTGCAAGCTTAATGCACACATTACAAAGTAGTTTCTGAGAATGATTCTGTCTAGCTTTTCTATGAAGATATTTCCTTTTCTACCAGAGGCCTCAAACTGCTCTAAATATCCACTTGGAAATTCTAAAAAAAGAGTATTTCAAAAGTGCTCTATCGAAAGGAAGTTTCAACTCTGTGAGTTGAATGCACACATCACAATGAAGTTTCTGAGAATTCTTCTGTCCAGTTTTATTTCAAGGAATTCCGTTTCCAATGAAGACCTCGAAAAGTCCAAATATTCACTTGCAGATTCTACAAATTGTGTGTTTCAAAACTGCTCTATCAAAAGAAAGATAAAACTCTGTGAGTTGAACGCACATATCACAATGTAGTTTCAGAGAATCATTCTGTCTAGTTTTTCTATGAAGATATTTCCTTTTCTACAATTGGCCTCAAACGGTGGTAAATATCCACTAGGAAATTCTACAAAAATAGAGGAGTTTCAGAACTGCTCTATCGAAAGAAAAATACAACTCTGTGAGTTGAAAGCACACATCACAAAGAATTTCTGAGAATTCTTCTTTCTAGTTTTATATGAAGAAATCACTTTTCAAACGAAGGCCACAATGAGGTCGAAATATCCACTTGCAGGTTCTACAAAAAAAGTTTTTCAAAACTGCTCTATGAAGAGCAATGTTAAACACTGTGAGTTGAAAGCAACTATCGCAAATTAGTTTCTGACAATGCTTCTGTCTAGTTTTTATTTGAAGTTATTTCTTTTCTACCTTAGGCTTCAAAGCGCTCTAAATAGACACTTGCAAATACCACAAAAATAGTGTTTCAAAACTGCTCTATCAAAGGAAAGTTTAAACACTGTAAGCTGAATGCACCCATCACAAAGTAGTTTCTGAGAATGATTCTGTCTAGTTTTTATATGAAGATATTTTCTTTTCAATCATTGGCCTCAAATCGCACTAAATATCCACTTGGAAATTCTACAAAAAGATTATTTCAAAACTGCTGTATCGAAAGGAATGTTCAACTCTGTCTGTTGAATGCACACATCACTAAGAAGTTTCGGAGAATTCTTCTGACAAGTCTTATATGAAGAAATCCCGTTGCCAAATAAGGCCTCAGAAAAATCCAAATATTCATTTGCAGATTCTACACAAAGAGTCTTTCAAAACTGCTCTATCAAAAGAAAGGTTAAACTCTGTGAATTGAATGCACACATCACAAAGTAGTTTCTGAGAATCATTCTGTCTAGTTTTTCCATGAAGATACGGCCTTTACTACATAGGCTTCAAACGGTGCTAAATATCCACTTGGAAATTCTACAAAAACAGAGTTTCGTAACTGCTCTATCGAAAAGAAGTTTCAACTCTGTGAGTTGAAAGCACACATCACAATGGAGTTTCTGATAATTCTTCTGTCAAGTTTTATATGAAGAAACCCCGTTTTCAATAGTGGCCTCTAAAAAGTCCAAATATTCACTTGCAGGTTCTACAAAAAGAGTGTTTCAAAACTGCTCTATCAAAAGAAAGGTTAAACTCTGTGAGTTGAATGCACACATCACAAAATAGTTTCTGAGACTCTTTCTGTCTAATTTTTCTATGAAGATATGTTCTTTTATACCATAGGCCTCAAACGGTGCTAAATATACACCTGGAAATTCTACAAAAAGAGAGTTTCAAAACTTCTCTATCAAAAGAAATGTTCAGCTCTGTGAGTTGAATGCAGATATCACAAAGTAGTTTCTGACAATGCTTCTGTCTAGTTTTATTGTGAAGATATTTCCTTTTCTACCGTAGCCCTCAAAGCGCTCTAAATATACACTTGCAAATTCCCCAAAAAGAGTGTTACAAAACTGCTCTATCAAAGGAAAGGTTAAACTCTGTAAGCTTCATGCACACATCAGGAAGTAGTTTTTTCAGAATGATTTTGTACAGGTTTTCTATCAAGATATTTCCTTTTCTACCATATGCCTCAAACGGTGCTAAACATCAACTTGGAAATTCTACAAAAAGAGTATTTCAAAACTGCTCTATTGAAAGGAAGGTTCAACTCTGAGAGTTGAATGGACACATCACAAAGAATTTTCTGAGAATTCTTCTGTCTAGTTCTATATGAAGAAATCACTTTTCAAAGGAAGGCAAAAAAGAGGTCCAAATATCCACATGCAGATTCTACAAAAAGAGTGTTTCAAAACTGCTCTATCAAGAGGAACGTTCAACTGTGTGAGTTGCATGGAAATATCACAAAGTAGTTTATGACAATGCTTCTGTCTTGTTTTTATGTGAAGATATTTCCTTTTCTACTGTAGGCCTCAAAGCCATCTAAATATACACTTCCAAATTCCACAAAAAGAGGGTTTCAAAACTGCTGTATCAAAAAAAAGGTTAAATTGTATAAGCTGAATGCACACATCACAAAGTAGTTTCTGAGAATGATTCTGCCTAATTTTTCTATGAAGATATTTTCTTTTCTACCATAGGCCTCAAACCGCTCTAAATAACCACTTGGAAATTCTGCAAAAAGAGAATTTCAAAACTTCTCTATCCAAAGGAAGGTTCAACTCTGTGACTTGAATGCACACATCACAAAGAAGTTAACGAGAATTCTTCTGTCAAGTTTTGTATGAATAAAACCCGTTTCCAACGAAGGCCTGAAATAAGTCGAAATATTCCCTTGCAGATTCTACAAAAAGAGTTTTTCTAAACTGCTCTATCAAAAGAAAGGTTAAACTCTGTGAGTTGAACGCACACACCACAAAGTAGTTTCTGAGAATGATTGTGTCTAGCTTTTCTATGAAATTATTGCCTTTTCTACAATAGGCCTCAAACGGCAATAAATATCCACTTGGAAATTCTACAAAATGAGAGTTTCAAAACTGCTCTATCGAAAGGAAGGATCAACTCTATGAGTTGAAAGCACACATCACAAAGAAGTTTCTGAGAATTCTTCTGTCTAGTTTTATTTGAAGAAATCACTTTTCAAGCGAAGGCCACAAAGAGGTCGAAATATCCACTTGCAGTTTCTACAAAAAGAGTGTTTCAGAACTGCTCTGTCAAGAGGAATATTCAACTCTGTGAGTTGATTGCAAATACTACAAAGTAGTTTCTGACAATGCTTCTGTCTAGTTTTTATTTGAAGAAATTTCCTTTTCAAAAGTAGGCTTCAAAGCGCTCTAAATATACACTTACAAATACCACAAAAAGAATGTTTCAAAACTGCTCAATGAAAAGAAAGATTAAACTCTGTTATCTGAATGCACACATCACAAAGAAGTATCTGAGAATGATTCTGTCTAGTTTTTCTAAGAAGATATTTCCTTTTCTACCACAGGCCTCAAGCCGCTCTAAATATTCACTTGGAAATACTTCAAGAAGATTATTTCAAAACTGCTCTATCGAAATGAAGGTTCAACTCTGTGAGTTGAAAGCACACATCACAAAGAAGTTTATCAGAATTGTTTTGTGTAGTTTTATACGAAGAAATCACGTTTCTAAAGAAGACCACAAAGAGGTCCAAATATACACTCGCAGATTCTACAAAAAGAATGTTTCAAAACTGCTCTATCAAGAGGAATATTCAACTCTGTGAGTTGAGTGCAAATATCACAAAGCAGTTTCTTACAGTGCTTCTGTCTGGTTTTTATGGGAAGATATTTCCTTTTCTACAATAGTTCTCAAAGAGCTCCAAATATACACTTGCAAATTCCACAGAAAGAGTGTTTCAATACTGCTCTATCAAAAGAAAATTTAAACTCTGTAAGTTGAATGCCCAAATCACAAAGAAGTTTCTGAGAATGATTCTGTCTAGTTTTCCTGTGAAGATATTTCTTTTTCTACCAGAGACCTCAAACCACTCTAAATAACCACTTGGAAAAACTACAAAAAAAATAGTATTTCAAAACTGCTCTATCGAAAGGAAGGTTCAAACCTGTGAGTTGAATGCACACATCACTAGAAGTTTCTGAGAATTCTTCTGTCACGTTTTATACGAAGAAATCCCGTATCCAGAGAAGGCCTTAAAATAACCGAAATATTCATTTGCAGATTCTACAAAAAGTGGGTTTCAAATCTGCTCTATCAAAAGAAAGTTTGAACCATGGGAGTTGAACGCACACATCACAAAGTAGCTGCTGACAATCATTCTGTATAGTTTTTCTATGAAGATATTTCCTTTTCTACAACAGGCCTCAAACGGCGCTAAATATCCACTTGGAAATTCTACAGAAAGAGAGATTCAAAACTGCTCTATCGAAAGATAGATTCAAATCTGTGAGTTGAAAGCACACATCACAAAGAAGTTTCTGAGAATTATTCTGTCTAGTTTCATATGTAGAAATCACGTTTCAAACGAAGGCCACAAGGAAGTCTAAATATCCACTTACAGATTCTACAAAAAGAGTGTTTTAAACTGCTCTATAAAGAGGAATGTTCAACCCTGTGAGTTGAATGCAAATATCACAACGCAGTTTCTGACAATGATTCTGTCTATTTTTTCTGTGAAGATATTTCCTTTTCTACCATAGGCATCAAAGCGCTGTAAATATACATTTGCAAATACTACAAAAAGATTGTTTCAAAACTGCTCTATATAAAGAAAGGTTAAACCCTGTAAGCTGAATGCCCACATCACAAAGTAGTTTCTGAGAATGATTTTGTCTAGTTTTTCTATGAACATATTTCGTTTTCTACCACAGGCCCCAAAACGAACTAAATATCCATTTGGAAATTCTACAAAAGGAGGATTTCAACAATGCTCTATCGAGAGGAAGGTTCAACGCTGTGAGTTGAAAGCACACGTCACAGAATAGTTTCTGAGGATTCTTCTGTCAGGTTTTATGTAAAGAAATCCCTTTTCCAAAGAAGGCCTAAAAATGTCCAAATATTCACTTGCAGATTCCACAAAAAGAGTGTCTCAAAACTGCTGTATCGAAAGGAAGGTTCAACTCTGAGTTGAATGCACACATCACAAATAAGTTTCTTAGAATTCTTCTGTCAAGTTTTATATGAAGAATTCCCGTTTCCGAAAAGGCCTCGTAAAAGTCCAAATATTCAGTTGCAGATCCTGCAAAAAGAGTGTTTCAAAACTGCTCTGTCAAAAGAAAGGTTAAACTCTGTGAGTTGAAAGCACACATCACAAAGTAGTTTCTGAGAATCATTCTGTCTAGTTTTCCTATGAAGATATTTCCTTTTCTAACAGAGGCCTCAAATGGCGCTAAATATCCACATGGAAATTGTACAAAAAAAGACTTCCAAAACTGCTCTATCGAAAGGAAGCTTCAACTATGTGAGTTGAAAGCACACATCACAAAGAAGTTTCTGAGAATTCTTCAGTTTAGATTTATAAAATGAAATCACGTTTCAAAAAAAGGCCACAAAGAAGTCCAAATATCCACTTGCAGATTCTACAAAAAGAGGGTTTCAAAACTGCTCTATCAGGAGGAATGTTCAACTCTGTGAGTTGAATGCAAATATTACAAAGTAGTTTCTGACAATGCTTCTGTCTAGTTATTATTTGAAGATATTTGCTTTTCTACCGTAGTCTTCAAATCGCTCTAAATATACACTTGCAAATTCCACAAAAAGAGTGTTTCAAAACTGCTCTATCAAATGAAAGGTTAAACTCTGTAAGATGAATGCACTCTTGCAAAGTACTTTCTGAGAATGATTCTGTCTAGTTTTTCTATGCAGATATTTCCTTTTCTACCACAGGCCTCAAACCGCTCTACATAACCACTTTTAATTTCTACAAAAATAGTATTTCAAAACTGCTATATCGAAAGGAAGGTTCAAATCTGTAAGCTGAAATCACACATCACAAAGTAGTTTCTGAGAATTATTCTGTCTAGTTTTATATGATGACATTACGTTTCAAAGAAAGGCCACAAAGAGGTACAAATATACAATTGCAGATTCTACAAAAAGTGTGTTTCAAAACTGCTCTATCAAGAGGAATGTTCAACTCTGTGAGTTGAATGCAAATATCACAAAGTAGTTTCTGACAATGCTTCTGTCTACTTTTTATATGAAGATATTTCCTTTTCTACCGTAGTCCTCAAAGCGCTCTAAATATACCCTTGCAAATTCCACAAAAAGAGTGTTTCCCAACTGCTCTATCAAAAGAAAGGTTAAACTCGGTAAGCTGAATGCACACATAACAAAGTAGTTTCTGAGAATGATTTTGTCTAGTTTTTCTATGAGGACATTTCCTTTTCTAAAAGAGACCTCAAACCGCTCTAAATATCCACCTGGAAATTCTACAAAAAGAGTTTTTCAAAACTGCTGTATCGAAAGGAAGGTTCAACACTGCTAGTCGAATGCACACATCACAAAGAAGTTTCTGAGAATTCTGTCAAGTTTGATATGAAGAAATCCCTTTCCCAATGAAAGCCTGAAAAAAGTCCAAATATTCACTTGCAGATTCTACAAAAAGTGTGTTTCAAAACTGCTCTGTCAAAAGGAAGGTTAAACTCTGAGAGTTGAACGCACAGATCACAAAGTAGTTTCTGAGAATATTTCTGTTTAGTTTTCCTATGAGGATAATGCCTTTTCTACCAAAGGCCTCAAACGGCGTTAAATATCCACTTGGATATTCTACAAAAGACAGTTTCAAAACTGCTCTATCGAAAGGAAGGTTCAACTCTGTGATTTGAAAGCACACACCACAAGGAATTTTCTGAGAATTCTTCTGTCTAGTTTCATATGAAGAAATCACGTTTCAAAGGAAGGCCACAAAGAGGTCAAAATATCCACTTGCAGATTCTACAAAAAGAGGGTTTCAAAACTGCTCTATCAGGAGGAATGTTCAACTCTGTGAGTTGAATGCAAATATCACAAAGTTGTTTCTGACAGTGCTTCTGTCTAGTTTTTATGTGACGATATTTCCTTTCTAACACAGGCATCAAAGCGCTATAAATTATACACTTGCAAATTCCACAAAAAGAGTGTTTCAAAACTGCTCTATCAAAACAAAGTTTAAATCCTTTTAGCAGAATGCACACATCACAAAGTAGTTTCTGAGAAGGATTCTGTCTAGTTTTTATATGAAGATATTTCCTTTTCTGCCATAGGCCTCAAATCGCTCTAAATATCCACTTGGAAATTCTACAGAAAATTATTTCAAAACTGCTCTATTGAAAGGAAGGTACAACTTTGTGAGTTGAATGCACACATCAAAAATAAGATTCTGAGAATCCTTCTGCGAAGTTTTATATGAAGAAATCCCTCTTCCAACGAAGGCCTCAAAAAAATCCGTATATTCACTTGCAGATTCTTCAAAAAGAGTGTTTCAAAACTCTATCAAAAGAAAGGTTAAACTCTGTGAGTTGAACGCACACATAACAAAGTAGTTTCTGAGAATCATTCTGTCTAGGTTTTCTATGAAGAAATTGCCTTTTCTACTGTAGGCCTCGCACGGCCCAAAATATCTACTTGGAAATTCTACAAAACGAGAGTTCAAAACTCCTAAATCCAAAGGAAGGTTCAACTCTGTGAGTTGAAAGCACACATCACAAAGAAATTTCTGAGAATTCCTCTGTCTAGTTTTAAATGAAGCAAACACGTTTCAAACGAAGCAATCACGTTTCAAACGAAGGGCACAAAGCGGTGCAAATATCCACTTGCAGATTCTACAAAAAGAGTGTTTCCAAACTGCTCTGTCAAGAGGAATGTTCAACTCTGTGAGTTGAATGCAAACATCACGAAGTAGTTTCTGACAATGCTTTTGTCTTGTTTTTATGTGAAGATATTTCCTTTTCCAACGGAGGCCTCAAAGCGCTCTAAATATACACTTGCAAATTCCACAAAAAGAGTGTTTCCAAACTGCTCTAACCAAAGAAATGTTAATCTCCGTAAGTTGCATGCAAACATACCAAATTAGTTTCTGAGAATGATTCTATCTAGGTTTTTTATGAAGATATATCCTTTTCTACAACAAGCCTCAAACCGCACTAAATATCCACTTCGAAATCCTACAAAAAGACTATTTCTAAACAGCACTATCAAAAGGAAGTTGAACTCTGTGACTTGAATGCACACATTACAAAGAAGTTTCTGAGAGTTCTTCGGTCAGGTTTTATATGAAGAAATCCCGTTTCCAATGAAGGCCTCAAAAAAGTCCAAATATTCACTTACAGATTCTACAAAAAGGTGTTTCAAAACTGCTCTATCTAAAGGAAGTTTAAACTCTGTGAGTTGAAGGCACACATCAAAAAGCAGTTTCTGAGAATCATTCTGTCTAGTTTTTCTATGAGGATATTACCTTTTCTACCAGAGTCCTCAAATGACGTTAAATATCCACTTGGAAATCCTACAAAAAGAGAGTTTCAAAACTGCTCTATCGAAAGTAATTTTCAATCTGAGAGTTGAAAGCACAAATCACAAGAAGTTTTTGAGAATTCCTCTCTCTAGTTTTGTGTGAAGAAATCATGTTTCAAACGAAGGCCACAAAGAGGTTCAAATATCCACTTGCAGATTCTGCAAAAAGAGTGTTTCAAAACTGCTCTATCAAGAGGAATGTTAAACTCTGTGGGTTGAATGCAAATATCTCAAAGTAGTTTCTGACAATGCTTCCGTCTTGTTTTTTTGTGAACATATTTCCTTTTCTACCGTAGGCCTCAAAGCACTCACAATATACACTTGGAAATTCCACAAAAAGTGAGTTTCCAAACTGCTCTATCAAAGAATGTTTAATCTATGTAAGCTGAATGCACACAACAAAAAGTACTTTCTGAGAATGATTCTGAATAATTTTTCAGTGAAGATATTTCCTTTTCTACCATAGGCCTCAAACCGCTCTAAATATCCGCTTGGAAATACAATAAAAAGAGTATTTCAAAACTGCTCTATGGAAAGGAAGGTTCAACTCTGTGAGGTGAATGCACACATCACAAAGAAGCTTCTGAGAGTTCCTCTGTCAAGTTTTATAGGAAGAAATCCCATTTCCAACGAAGGCCTCAAACAACTCCAAATATTCACTTGCAGATTCAACAAAAAGATTGTTTCAAAACCTCTCTATCGAATGAAAGGTTAAACTCTGTGAGTTGAACGCACACATCACAACGTAGTTTCTGAGAATCATTTTGTCTAGTTTTTCTATGAAGATATTGCCTTTTCTACCACAGGCCCCAAACAGCGCTAAATATCCACTTGGAAATACTACAAAAAGAGAGTTTCAAAACTCCTCTATCGAAAGGAAGGTACAACTCTGTGAGTTGAAAGCACACATCTCAAAGAAGATTTTGAAAATTCTTCTGTCTAGTTTTATATGAAGAAATCACTTTTCAAACGAAGGACACAAAGAGGTGCAAATATCGAATCGCAGATTGTACAAAAAGAGTGTTTCAAAACTGCTCTATCAAGAGGAATGTTCAACTCTGTGAGTTGAATACAAATATCAAAAATTAGTTTCTGATAATGCTTCTATCTAGTTTTTATGTGAAGATAATTCCTTTTCTACCGTAGGCCTCAAAGCACTCTAAATATACATTTCCAAATTCCACAAAAAGAGTTTTTCAAAACTGCTGTATAAAAAGAAAGGTTAAACTATATAAGCTGAATGCACACATCAAAAACTAGTTTCTGAGAATGATTCTCTCTAGTTTTTCTATGAAGATATTACCTTTTCTGCCACAGGCCTCAAACCGCTCTAAATATCATCTACTTGGAAATTCTGCAAAAAGAGTATTTCAAAACTGGTCTATCGAAAGGAAGGTACAACTCTGTGAGGTGAATTCACACTTCACAAAAAGTTTCTGAGATTTCTTCTGTTAACATTTATATGAAGAAATCCCTTTTCCAAAGAAGGCCTCAAAAAATCCAAATATTCCATTACAGATTCTACAAAAAGAGTGTTTCAAAACTGCTCTATCAAAAGAAAGGTTAAACTCTGTGAGGTGAACACACACACCACAAAGTAGTTTCTGAGAATCATTCTGTCTAGTTTTTCTATGAAGATATTTCCTTTTCCACCATAGTCCTCAAACGGCACTAAATATCTACTTGGAAATTCTACAAAATGAATTTCAAAACTGTTCTATCGAAAGGAAGGTTCAACTCTGTGAGTTGAAAGCACACATCACAAAGATGTTTCTGAGAATTCTTCTCTTTAGTTGTATATGAAGAAATCACGTATCAAAGGAATGCTACAAAGAGGACCAAATATCCACCTCCAGATTCTACTAAAAAAGTGTTTCAAAACTGCTCTATCAAGAGGAATGATCAACTTTGTGAGTTGAAGGCAAATATCACGAAGTAGTTTCCGACAATGCTTCTGTCTATTTTTTATGTGAAGATATTTCCTTTTCTACCGTAGACCTCAAAGCGCTCTAAATATACACTTGCAAATTCCCCAAAAAGAATGTTTCAAAACTGCTCTATCAAAAGGAACGTTAAACTATGTAAGCTGCATGCACACATCACAAAGTAGTTTCGGAGAATGATACTGTCTAGTTTTTCTCTGAATATATTTTATTTCCTACCATAGGCCTCAAACCGCTCTAAATATCCACTTGGAAATCCTACAAATAGAGTATTTAAGAACTGCTCTATCTAAAGGAAGGTTCAATACAGTGAGTTGAAAGCACACATCACAAAGAAGTTTCTGAGAATTCTTCTGTCAAGTTTTAGATGAAAAAATCCCTTTTCCAAAGAAGGCCTCTAAAAAGTCCAAATATTCACTTGCAGATTCTACAAAAATAGTGCTTCAAAGTTGCTCTATCAAAAGAAATGTTAAACTCTGTGAGTAGAATGCACACATCACAAAGTAGTTTCTGAGAATCTTTCTGTCTTGTTTTTCTATGAAGATAGTGCCTTTTCTACCATAGGCCTCAAACGGCCCTAAATATTCACTTGTTAATTCTACAAAAAGAGAGTTTCAAAACTGCTGTATCGAAAGGACGGTTCAACTTTGTGAGTTGAAAGCACACATCACAAAGAATTTTCTGAGAATTCTTCTGTCATATTTTATATGAAGAAATCCTGTTTCCAACAATGACCTCATAAAAGTCCGGATATTCACTTGTAGTTTCTACAAAAAAAGTGGTTCAAAACTGCTCTATCAAAAGAAAGATTAAACTCTGTGAGTAGAACGCAAACATCACAAATTAGTTTCTGAGAATCATTCTGTCTAGTCATTCTATGAAGATATTTCCTTTTCTACCACAGGCCTAAAACGGTGCTAATTATGGACTTGGAAATTCCACAAAAAGAGTGTTTCAAAACTGCTCTATCAAAAGAAAGGTTAAACTCTGTAAGCTGAATGCACACATCACAAAGGAGTTTCTGAGAATGATTTTGTGTAGTTTTTCTATGAAGATATTTCCTTTTGTACCATAGGCCCCAAACCGCCCATAATATCCACTTGGAAATACTACAAAGAGTATTTCAAATCTGCTCTAACGAAAGGACGGTTCAACACTGTGAGTTGAATGCACACATCAGAAAGAAGTTTCTGAGAATTCTTCTGTCAAGTTTTATATGGAGAAATCCCGTTTCCAACGAAGGGCTCTAAAAAGTCCAAATATTCATTGCAGATTCTACAAAATGAGTGTTTCAATATTCCTCTATGAAAAGCAAAGTTAAACACTCTCTGTTGAATACACACATCACAGAGTAGTTTCTGAGAATCATTCTGACTGGTTTTTCTATGAAGATATTTCCTTTTCTACCATAGGCCTCAAACCGTGCTAAATATCCACTTGGAAATTCAACAAAATGAGTGTCTCAAAACTGCTCTATCAAGACTAATTTTCAACTCTGTGAGTTGAATGCCAATATCACAAACTAGTTTCTGACAAAGCTTCCGTCTCGTTTTTATGTGAAGATATTTCAGTTTCTACAGAAGCCTTCAAAGCGCTCTAAATATACACTTGCAAATTCCACAAAGAGATTGTTTCAAAACTGCTCTATCAAAAGAAAAGTTAAATTCTGTAAGCTGAATGTACACATCACAAAGTAGTTTCTAAGAATGATTCTGTCTAGTTTTCCTATGAGATATTTCCTTTTGTACGACAGGCCTCAAACTGCTCTAAATATCCACTTGGAAATTCTACAAAAGGAGTATATCAAAACTGCTCTACCGAAAGGAAGGTTCAACTCTGTGAGATGAATGCACACATCACAAAGTAGTGTATGGAATTCTTCTGTCAAGTTTTATATGAAGAACTCCCGTTTCCAACGAAGGCCTCAAGAAGTCCAAATATTCACTTGCCGATTCTACAAAAAGAGTGTTTCAAAACTGCTCAATCAAAAGAAAGGTTTAACTCTGTGAGTTGAACGCACACATCACAAAGTAGTTTCTGAGAAGCATTATGTCTAATTTTTCTACGAAGATATGGCCTTTTCGACAATAGGCCTTAAACGGCGCTAAATATCCACTTGGAAATTCTGAAAAATGAGAGTCTCAAAACTGTTCTATCGAAAGGAATTTTCAACTCTGTGAGTTGAAAACCCACTTCACAAAGAAGATTCTGAGAATTCTTCTGTCTAGTTTTATATAAAGAAATCATGATTCAAAGGAAGGCCACAAAGAGGTCCAAATATCCACTTGCAGATTCCACAAAAAGAGAGTTTCAAAACTCTTCTATCAAAAGGAATTTTCACCTCTGTGAGTTGAATGCAAATATCACAAAGTAGTTTCTGACAATGCTTCGGTCTAGTTTTTATGTGAAGATATTTTCTTTTCTACCGGAGGCCTCAAAGTTCTTTAAATATAGACTTGTAAATTCCACAGAAAGAGTGTTTCAAAACTGCTCTATCAAAAGAAAGTTAAACTCTGTTAGCTGAATGCACACATCACAAAGCAGTTTCTGAGAATGATTCTCTCTAGTTTTTCTAAGAAGACATTCGCTTTTTTACCACAGGCCTCAAATCGCTCTAAATATCCACTTGGAAATTCTTCAGAAAGAGTATTTCAAAACTGGTCAATCGAAAGGAAGGCACAAATCTGTAAGTTGAATGCACACATCACAAATAAGTTTCTGAGAATTTTTCTGTCAAGTTTTATATGAAGGAAAACCTTTTCCAAAGAAGGCCTCAAAAAAGTCCAAATATTCTCCTGCAGATTCTCTCAAAAGTGTGTTTCAAAACTGCACTATCAAAAGAAAGTTTAAACTCTGTGAGTTGAACGCACACATCACAAAGTAGTTTCTGAGAATCATTGTGTCTAGTTTTTCTATGAAGATATTACTTTGTCTACCGTAGGCCTCTGACGGCGCTAAATATCCACTTGGAAATTCTACAAAGAGGGACTTTCAAAACTGTATTACCAAAAGGAAGGTTTAAATCTGTGAGTTGAAAGCACACATCACAAAGAAGTTTTTGAGAATTATTCTGTGTTGTATTATATGAAGAAATCACATTTCAAAAAAGGCCACTTGAGGTCCAAATATCCACCTGCAGATTCTACAAAAGCAGTGTTTCAAAACAACTCTATCAAGGGTAATGTTCAACTCAGTGAGTTGATTACAAATATCACAAAGTAGTTTCGGACAGTGCTTCTCTCTAGTTTTTATGTAAAGATAATTCCTTTTCTACCGTAGGTCCCAAAGCCCTCTAAATATACACTGACAAATTCCACAAAAAGAGTGTTTTAAAACTGCCCTGTCAAATGAATGTTAAACTCTGTAAGCTGAATGCACACATCACAAAGTAGTTTCGGAGAATGATTCTGTCTAGTTTTTCTATGAAGATATTTCCTTTTCTACCACAGGCCTCAAACCTTTCTAAATATAAAATTGGAAATTCTACAAAAAGAGTGCTTCAAAACTGCTCTATCGAAAGGAATGTTCAACTCTGTGAGTTGAATGCACACATCACAAAGAAGTTTCTGAGAATTCTTCTGTCAAGTTTTATGTGAAGAAATCCCGTTTCCAATGAAGGCCCCAAAAATGTCCAAATATTTACTTGCAGATTCTATAAAAAGAGTGTTTCAAAACTGCTCTATCAAAAGAAAGTTAAACTCTGTGTGTTGAAAGCACACATCACAAAGTAGTTTCTGAGAATCATTCTGTCTTGTTTTTCTATGAAGATATTGCTTTTTCTACCATAGGTCTAAAACGGCGCTTCAATATCCACTTGGAAATTCTACAAAAAGAGAGTTTGAAAACTGCTCTATCAAAAGGAAGTTTCGACTCTATGAGTTGAAAGCACACACCACAAAGAAGTTTCTGAGATTTCTTCTGTCTAGTACTATATGAAGAAATCACGTTTCGAACGAAGACCACAAAGAGGTCAAAATATCCACTCACAGATTCACAAAAAAGAGTGTTTCAAAACTGCTCTATCAAGAGCAATGTTCAGCTACGTGAATTGAATGCAAATATCACGTAGTAGTTTCTGACAAAGATTCTTTCTAGTTTTTATGTTAAGATAATTCCTTTTCTACCGAATGCCACAAAGCGCTCTAAATAAATACTTGCAAATTCCACAAAAACTGTGTTTCAAAACTGCTCTAACAAATGAATGTTAAACTCTGTAAGCTGAATGCACACATCACAAAGTAGTTTCTGAGAATGTTTCTGTCTAGTTTTCCTATGAGATATTTCCTTTTGTACGACAGGCCTCAAACCACTCTAAATATCCACTTGGAAATACTACAAAAAGAGTATTTCAAAACTGCTCTATCGAAAGGAAGTTTCAACTCTGTGAGTTGAAAGCACACATCACAAAGTAGTTCCTGACAATGCTTCTGTCTAGTTTTATATGAAGAAATCACGTTTCAAATGAAGGCCAAAAAGAGGTCCAAATATACACATGCAGATTCTACAAAAACAGTGTTTCCTAACTGCTCTATCAAGAGGAATGTTCAACTCTGTGAGTTGAAATCAGATATCACAAAGTAGTTTCTCACAATGCTTCTGTCTAGTTTTTATGTGAAGATAATTCTTTTTCTACCGTTGGCCTCAAAGCGCTCTAAATATACACTTGCAAATTCCACAAAAAGAGTGTTTCCAAACTGCTCCATCAAAAGAAATGTTAAACCCTGTAAGCGGAATGCTCACATCACAAAACAGTTTCTTACAATGATTCTGTCTAGTCTTTCTATGAAGATACTTCCTTATCTAGCAGTCCTCCAAACGCAAAAAATATCCAGTTGGAAATTCTGCAAAAAGAGTATTTCAAAACTGCTCTATCAAAAGGAAGGTTCAACACTGTGAGTTGAATGCCCACATCACAAAGAAGTTTCTGAGAATTGTTCTGTCACGTTTTACATGAAGTAATCCCGTTTCCAAAGAAGGCCCCCCAAAAGTCCAATTATTCACTTGCAGATTCCACAAAAAGAGTGTTTCAAAACTACTCTATGAAAAGAAAGGTTAAACTCTGTGAGTTAAACGCACACATCACAACGTAGTTTCTGATAATCATTCTGTCTAGTTTTTCTTTGAAGATATGGCCTTTTCTACCATAGGCCTCAAATAGCGCAAAATATCCACTAGGAAATTCTACCAAACGAGAGTTTCAAAACTGCTCTATCAAAGAAGGTTAAAGTCAGAGAGTTGAACTCACACATCACAAAGTAGATTCTGAGAATCATTCTGTCCAGTTTTTCTATGAAGATATTGCCCTTTCTGCTATAGGCCTCAAACGGTGCTAAATGTCCACTTGGAAATTATACAAAAAGAGCGTTTCAAAACTGCTCTATTGAAAGGAAGGTTCAACTCTGTGAGTTGAAAGCACACATCACAAAGAAGTTTCTGAGAATTCTTCTGTCTTGTTTTGTATTAAGAAATCACGTTTCAAACAAAGACCACAAAGAGGTCGAAATATCCACTCGCAGATCCTTCAAAAAGAGTGTTTCATAGCTGCTCTATCAAGAACAATGTTCAACTCTGTGAGTTGAATGCAAATATCACAAAGTAGTTTCTGGCAATGCTTTTGTCTAGTTTTTATGTGAAGATAATTCCTTTTCTAGGTTTGGCCTCAAAGCTCTCTAAACATACACTTGCAAATTCCACAAAAAGAGTGTTTCAAAACTGCTGTATCAAAAGATAGTTTAAACTCTGTGAGTTGAAAGCACACATCACAAAGAAGCTTCTGAGAATCATTCAGTCTTGTTTTTCTATGAAGATATTGCATTTTCAACCATAGGCCTCAAAAGGGGCTAAATATCCACTTGGAATTTCTACAAAAAAAGAGTTTCAAAACTGCTGTATCGAAAGGAAAGTTCAACTCTGTGAGTTGAAGCACACATCAAAAAAGTTTCTGAGAATTCTTCTGTATATATTTATATGAAGAAATCACGTTTCAAACGAAGGACGCAAAGAGGTCCAAATATCCGCTGACAGATTCTACAAACAGAGTGTTTCAAAACTGCTCTATGAAGAGGAATGTTCAACTCTGTGGGATGAATGCCAATATCACAAACTAGTTACTTACAATGCTTCTGTCTAGTTTTTCTTTGAAGATATTTCCTTTCCTACCGTAGGCCTCATAGCGCTCTAAATATACACTTGCAAATTCCACAAAAAGGGTGTTTCAAAATTGCTCTAACAATAGAAAGCTTAAACACTGTATGCTGAATGAACACGTCACAAAGTAGTTTCTGACAATGATTCTGTCTAGTTTTTCTATGAAGATATTTCTTTTTCTATAACAGGCCTACAACGACTCTAAATATCCACTTGGAAATAATACCAAAAGAGTGTTTAAAAACTGGTCTATCTAAAGGAAGATTCAACTCTATGAGTTGAATGCACACATCACAAAGAAGTTTCTGAGAATTCTTCTGTCAAGTTTTATATGAAGAAAACCCGTTTCCAATGAAGGCCCCCAAAAAGGCCAAATCTTCACTTGCAGATTCTACAAAAAAGAGTGTTTCAAAACTGCTCTATCAAAAGAAAGGTTAACCTCTGTGAATTAAACACATACATCACAAACTAGTTTCTGAGAAATATTCTGTCTAGTTTTTCAATGAAGATATTGTCTTTTCTATCATAGGCCTCAAAGGGCGCTAAATATCCACTTGGAAATTCTACAAAATGAGAGTTTCAAAACAGCTCTATCTAAACGAAGGTTCAACTCTGTGAGTTGAAAGCACACATCACAAAGAAGTTCCTGAGAATTCTTCTGTCTAGTTTTATATGAGGAAATCACGTTTCAAACGAAGGCCACAAAGAGTTCCAAATATTCACTGGCAGATTCTACAAAAAGAGTATTTCAAACCTGCTCTATCAATAGGAATGTTCAACTCTGTGAGTTGAATGCAAATATCACAAATTAGTTTCTGACAATGCTTCTGACTAGTTTTTATTTGAAGATAATTCCTTTCCTACCGTAGGCCTCATAGCGCTGTAAATATACACCTGCAAATTCCACAAAAAGAGTGTTTCAAAACTGCTTTATCAATTGAAATATTAAACTCCGTAAGCTGAATGCTCACATAACAAAGTAGTTTCTGAGAATGATTGTGTCTAGTTTTTCTATGAAGATATTTCCTTTTATACCAAAGGCCTCAAACCGCTCTAAATATCCACTTGGAAATTCTAAAAAAAGAGTATTTCAAAACTGCTCTATCGAAAGGATGGTTTAACTCTTTGAGTTGAATGCACACATCAAAACGAAGTTTCTGATAATTCTTCTGTCAAGTTTTATTTGAAGAAATCCCGTTTCCTACGAAGGCCCCCAAAAAGGACAAATATTCACCTGCCGGTTATACAAAAAGTGTTTTTCAAAACGGCTCTAAGAAAAGAAAGGTTAAACACTGTAACCTGAATGCACACATCACAAAGCAGTTTCTGAGAATGATTCTACTTTTTCTATGAAATATTTCCTTTTCTACCACGGGCCCCAAACCGATCTAAATATCCACTTGGAAATACTACAAAAAGAGTATTTCAAAACTGCTCTATCTAAAGGAAGGTTCAACTCTGTGTGTTCAATGCACACATCACAAAGAAATTTCCGAGAATTCTTCTGTCAAATTTTATATGAAGAAATCCCGTTTGCAAGTAAGGCCTCAAAAAAGTCCAAATATTCACTTTCAGATTCTACAAAAAGAGTGTTTCAAAACTGCTCTATCAAAAGAAAGGTTAAACTCTGTGAGTGGAACTCACACATCACAAAGTAGTTTCTGAGAATCATTCTGTCTTGGTTTTCTATGAAGATATTTCCTTTTCTACCAGAGGCCTCAAACGATGCTTAATATTACCTTGGAAATTCTACAAAAAGAGAATTTCAAAACTGCTCTATCGAAACAAAGGTTCAACTCTGTGAGTGGAATGCACACATCACAAAGAAGTTTCTGAGAATTCTTCTGTCTTGTTTTATATGAAGAAATCACGTTTCAAAGGAAGGCCACAAAGAGGTCCAAATATACACTTGCAGATTCTACAAGTAGAGTGTTTCAAAACTGCTCCATCAAGAGCAGTTCAACTCTGTGAGTTGAATGCAAATATCAAAAAGTAGTTTCTTACAATGCCTCTGTTTAGTTTTTCTGTGAAGATATTTCATTTTCTACCATAGGCCTCAAAGCGCTCTAAATATACACTTGCAAATTCCACCAAAAGAGGGTTTCAAATCTGCTTTATCAAAAGAAATGTTAAACTCACTCTGTAAGCTGAATGCACACATCACAAAGTAGCTTCTGAGAATTCCTCGGTCTTGTTTTATATGAAGAAATCACATTTCAAAGGAAGACCACAAGGAGTTCCAAATTGCAGATTCTGAAAAAAGAGTATTTCAAAACTGCTCTTTCAAGGAGAATTTTCAACTCTGTGAGTTGAATGCAAATATCACAAAGTAGTTTTTGAAAATGCTTCTGTCTAATTTTTTGTGAAGATATTTCGTTTTCTACCGTAGGCCCCAAAAGATCTATATAGTCTTGCAAATTACTCAAAAAGAGCCTTTCAAAACTGCTCTATCAAAAGAAAGGTTAAACGCTGTAAGCTGAATGCACACATGACAAAGCAGTTTCTGAGAATGTTTCTCTCTAGTTTTCCTATGAAGATATTTCCTTTTCTACCAAAGGCATCAAACCGTTCTAAATATCCACTTGGAAATTCCACAAAAACTGTATTTCAAAACTGCTCTATCGAAAGGAAGATTCATCTCTGGGAGTTGAATGCACACATCAGAAAGAAGTGTCTGAGAATTCTTCTTTCAAGTTTTATATGAATAAACCCCCTTTCCAACGAAGGCCTCAAAAAATTCCAAATGTTCTCTTGCAGATTCTACAAAAAGAGTGTTTCAGAACTGCTGTATGAAAAGAAAGGTTAAACTGTGTGAGGTGAACGCACACATCACAAAGTAGATTCTGAAAATCATTCTGTCTAGTTTTTCTATTGAGATATTTCCTTTTCTTCCATAGGCCTGATAAGGCTCTAAACATCGACGTGGAAATTCTAAAAAAAGAGAGTTTCAAAACTCCTCTATCGAAATGAAGTTTCAACTCTGTGAGTTGAACGCACACATCACAAAGTAGTTTCTGAGAATCATTATGTCTAATTTTTCTACGAAGATATGGCCTTTTCGACAATAGGCCTTAAACGGCGCTAAATATCCACTTGGAAATTCTGAAAAATGAGAGTCTCAAAACTGTTCTATCGAAAGGAATTTTCAACTCTGTGAGTTGAAAACCCACTTCACAAAGAAGATTCTGAGAATTCTTCTGTCTAGTTTTATATAAAGAAATCATGATTCAAAGGAAGGCCACAAAGAGGTCCAAATATCCACTTGCAGATTCCACAAAAAGAGAGTTTCAAAACTCTTCTATCAAAAGGAATTTTCACCTCTGTGAGTTGAATGCAAATATCACAAAGTAGTTTCTGACAATGCTTCGGTCTAGTTTTTATGTGAAGATATTTTCTTTTCTACCGGAGGCCTCAAAGTTCTTTAAATATAGACTTGTAAATTCCACAGAAAGAGTGTTTCAAAACTGCTTTATCAAAAGAAAGTTAAACTCTATTAGCTGAATGCACACATCACAAAGCAGTTTCTGAGAATGATTCTCTCTAGTTTTTCTAAGAAGACATTCGCTTTTTTACCACAGGCCTCAAATCGCTCTAAATATCCACTTGGAAATTCTTCAAAAAGAGTATTTCAAAACTGGTCAATCGAAAGGAAGGCACAAATCTGTAAGTTGAATGCACACATCACAAATAAGTTTCTGAGAATTTTTCTGTCAAGTTTTATATGAAGGAAAACCATTTCCAAAGAAGGCCTCTAAAAGTCCGAATATTCACTTGCAGATTCTACAAAGAGAGTGTTTCTAAACTGCTCTATCAAAAGAAAGGTTAAACTCTCTGAGTTGAACGCACACATCACAAACTATTTTCTGAGAATCATTCTGTCTAGTTTTTTATGAAGAAATCACGTTTCAAACGAAGGCCACGAAGAGATCAAAATATCCACATGCAGATTCTACAAAAAGAGTGTTTCAAAACTGATCTATCAAGAGGAATGTTCCACTCTGTGAGGTGAATGCAAATATCACAAAGGATTTTCTGACAATGCTTCGGTCTAGTTTTTATGTGAAGATATTTCCTTTTCTACCGTAGGCCACAAATCGCTCTAAATATACACATGAAAATTCCACAAAAAGTGTGTTTCAGAACTGCTCTATCAAAAGATAGGTTGAACTATGAATGCTGAAAGCACACATCACAAAGAAGCTTCTGAGAATGATTCTGTCTAGGTTTTCTATGAAGATATTTCCTTTTCTACCAGAGGCCACAGAACGCTCTAAATATCCACTTGAAAATTCCACAAAAAGAGTATTTCAAAACTGCTCTATCGAAAGGAAGGTTCAAATCTGTGAGTTCAATGCACACATCAAACAGAAGTTCCTGAGAATTCTTCTATCACGTTTTATATAAAGAAATCCCGTTTCCAACGAAGGCCACCAAAAAGTCCAAATATTCACTACCGGATTCTACAAAAAGAGTGTTTCAAAACTGTTCTATCAAAAGAAAGATTAAACCCTGTAAGCTGAATGCACACATCACAAAGTAGTTTCTGTGAATGATTCTGTCTAGTTTTTCTAGGTAGATACTTCCTTTTCTACCACAGACCTCAAACCGCTGTAAATATCCACTTGGAAATACTAAAAAAAGTGTATGTCAAAACTGCTCTATCAACAGGAAGGTTCAATTCTGTGAGTTGAATGCACACATCACAAAGTAGTCTGAGAATTCTTCTGTCACTTTTCAAACGAAGAAATCCCGTTTCCAACGAAGGCCCCGAAAAAATCCAAATATTCGCTTGCAGATACTACAAAAATAGTGTTTCAAAACTGCTCTATCAAAAGAAAGATTAAAGTCTGTCAGTTGAACGCACACAGCACAATGTAGTTTCTGAGAATCGTTCTGTCTAATTTTTCTATGAAGATATTTCCTTTTCTACCATAGGCCTCAAGCGGCGCTAAATGTCCACTTGGAAATTTCACAGAAAGAGAGTTTCAAAACTGCTCTATCGAAAGGAAAGTTCAACTCTGTGAGTTGAAAGCACACATCACAAAGAAGTTTCTGAGAATTCTTCTGTCTAGTTTTATATGAAGAAATCACGTTTCAATCGAAGGCCACACAAATGTTCAAATATAAACTTGAAGATTCTACAAAAGAGTTTTTCAAAACTGCCCTATTAAGGGGAATCTTCAACTCTGTGATTTGAATGCAAATGTCACAAAGTTGTTTCCGACAACACTTCTGTATTGTTTTATGTGAAGACACTTCCTTTTCTACGGTATGCAGCAAAGCGCTCTAAATATACACTTGCAAATTCCACAATAAGAGTGTTTCAAAACTGCTCTTAGAAAGGAAATGTTAAACTCTGTAAGCTGAATGCACACAGCACAAAGTAGTTTCTGAGAATGAGTCTGTCTAGTTTTTCTATGAAGATATTGTCTTTACTAAAATATGCCTCAACCGGGGCTAAATATCCACTTGGAAATTCTACAAAAATAGATTTTCAAAATTGCTCCATCGAGAGGAAGGTTCAACACTGTGAGCTGAAAGGTCACATCACAAAGAAGTTTCTGAGAATTCTTCTGTCTAGTTTTATATGAAGAAATCACGTTTCAAATGAAGGCCACAAAGAGGTCCAAATATCCGCTTGCAGATTCTACAAAAAGAGTGTTTCGAAACTGCTCTATCAAGATAAATGTTGAACTCTGTGAGTTGAATGCATATATCTAAAAGTAGTTTCTGACAATGCTTCTGTCTAGTTTTTATGTGAAGATATTTCCTTTGCTACCATAGGCTTCAAAGTGTTCAAAATATATACTTGCAAATTCCTCAAGAAGAGGGTTTCAAAACTGCTCTATCAAAAGAAAGGTTAAACTCTGTAAGCTGAATGCACACATCACAAAGTAGTTTCTGAAAATGATTTTGTCTAGTTTTTCTATGAAGATATTTCCTTTTCTACCACAGGCCTCAAACCGCTTTAAATATCCACTTGGAAATTCTACCAAAAGAGTATTTCAAAACTGCTCTATGGAAAGGAAAGTTCAAATCTGTGAGTTGAATGCACACATCACAAAGAAGTTTCTGAGAATTCTTCTATCACGTTTTATAAGAAGAAATCCCGTTTACAACGAAGGCCCCCAAAAAGTCCAAATATTCTCTTGCAGATACTACAAAATAGTGTTTCAAAACTGCTCTATCAAAAGAAAGTTAAACTCTGTGAGTTGAACGCGCACACGACAAAGTTGTTTCTGTGAATCATTCTTTCTAGATTTTCTATGAAGATATTGCCTTTTCTAGCTTAGGCCTCAAACGGCGCTAAATATTCACTTCGAAATTCTACAAAAAGAGAGTTTCAAAACTGCTGTATCCAAAGGAAGTTTCATTCCTGTGAGTTGAAAGCACACATCACAAAGAAGTTTCTGAGAATTCTTCTGTCTAGTTTTATATGAAGAAATCACGTTTCAAACGAAGGCCACAAAGAGGTACAAATATCCACATGCAGATTCTGCAAAAAGAGAGTTTCAAATTTGCTCTATCAAGAGGAATGTTCACCTCTTTGGGTTGAATTCAAAT
This sequence comes from Homo sapiens, assembly GCF_000001405.40. Lineage (NCBI taxonomy): Eukaryota > Metazoa > Chordata > Mammalia > Primates > Hominidae > Homo > Homo sapiens. The sequence continues at coordinate 117,191 of NW_012132917.1, forward strand.
ATCACAAAGTAGTTTCTGGCAATGCTTCTGTCTTGTTTTTATGTGAACATATTTTCTTTTCTAAAGTAGGCCTCAAATCAGTCTCAATATACACTTGGAAAATCCAGAAAAAGAGTGTTTCAAAACTGCTCTATCAAAGAAAGTTTAATATACGTAAGCTGAATGCACACATCACAAAGTAGTTTCTGAGAATGATTCTGTATATTTTTTCTATGAAGACATTTCCTGTTCTACCATAGGCCTCAAACCACTCTAAATATCCGCTTGGAAATACTACAAAAAGAGTATTTCAAAACTGCTCTATCGAAAGGAAAGTTCAACTCAGTGAGTTTAATGCACACGTCACCACGAAGTTTCTGGTAATACTTCTGTCAAGTTTTATATGAAGAAATCCCTTTTCCAAAGAAGGCCTCAAAAAGTCCAAATATTCACTTGCGGATTCTGCAAAAAGAGAGTTTCAAAACTGCTCTATCTGAAGCAAAGTTAAAGTTTTTGAGTTGAATGCACACAACACAAAGGAGTTTCTGAGAATCATTCTGTCTAATTTTTCTATGAAGTTATTTCATTTTGAAACAAAGGCCTCAAACCACGCTAAATATCCACTTGGAAATTCTACAAAAAGAGAGTTTAAATACAGCTGTTTCGAAAGGAAGGTTCAACTCTGTAAGTTGAATGCACACATCACAAAGAAGTTTCTGAGAATTCTTCTCTCACGTTTCGTATGAAGAAATCCCGTTTCAAACGAAGGCCACAAAGAGGTCAACGTATCCACTTGCAGAATCTACAAAAAGAGTATTTCAAAACTGCTCCAACAAAAGGAATTTTCAACACTGAGTTGAATGCAAATATCATAAAGTAGTTTCTGACAATGCTTCTGTCTAGTTTTTATGTGAAGATATTTCTTTTTCTACCATAGGCTTCAAAGCGCTCGAAATATACACATGCAAATTCCACAAAAAGAGTGTTTCAAAACTGCTCTACCAAAAGAAAGGTTAAACTCTGTAAGCTAAATGCACACATCAAAAAGTAGTTTCTGACAATGATTCTGTCTAGTTTTTCTATGAAGATATTACCTTTTCTACCATACGCCTCAAACCACTCTAAATATCCACTTAGAAATCCTACAAAAAGAGTATTTCCAAACTGCTCTATCGAAAGGTAGTTTCAACTCTGTGAGTTGAATGCACACATCACTAGTAAGTTTCTGATAATTCTTCTGTCACGTTTTATATGAAGAAACCCCATTTCCAAAAAAGCTGCCAAAAAGTCCAAATATTCACTTGCAGATTCTACAAAAGTAGTGTTTCAAAACTGCTCTATCAAAAGAAAGATTAAACTCTGTAAGTTGAATGCATACATCTCAAAGTAGTTTCTGTGAATGATTCTATTTTGTTTATCTATGAAGATATTTCCTTTTCTACCACATGCCTCAAACCGCTCTAAATATACACTTGGAAATTCCACAAAAAGAGTATTTCAAAACTGCTCTATCGAAAGGAAGGTTCAATTCTGTGAGTTGAATGCACACATCACAAATATGTTTCTGAGAATTTTTCTGTCATGTTTTATAGGAAGAAATCCCGTTTCCAACCAAGGCCCCCAAAACTCCAAATATTCACTTGCAGGTTCTAAAAAAACAGTTTTTCAAAACTGCTCTATCAAAAGAAAGATTAAACACTGTGAGTTGAACGCACACAGCACAATGTAGTTTCGGAGAATCATTCTGTCTAGTTTTTCTATGAAGATATTGTCTTTTCTACCGTAGGCCTCAATGGCGCTAAATATCCACGTGAAAATTCTACCAAAATGGAGGATCAAAACTGCCCTTTCGAAAGGAAAGTTCAACTCTGTGAGTTGAAAGCAAACATCACAAAGAAGTTTCTGAGAATTCTTCTGTGTAGTTTTATACGAAGAAATCACGTTTCTAACGAAGACAACAAAGGGGTCCAAATATCCACTCGCAGATTCTACAAAAAGAGTGTTTCAAAGCTGCTCTATCAAGAGGAATGTTCATCTCTGTGAGTTGAATGCAAATATCACAAAGTTGTTTCTGACGATGCTTCAATGTAGTTTTTATGTGAAGATATTCTCTTTTCTACCGTAGCCCTCAAAGAGCTCTAAATATACACTTGAAAATTCCACAAAAAGAGTGTTTCAAAACTGCTCTATCAAAAGAAAGTTTAAACACTGTTAGCTGAATGCACACATCACAAAGTAGTTTGTGAGAATGATTCTGTCGTCGATTTCTATGAAGATATTTCCTTTTCTACCACAGGCCTCAAACCGCTCTAATTATCCACTTGGAAATTCTTCAAAAAGAGTATTTCAGAAATGCTCTATTGTAAGGAAGGTTCAATATTGTGAGTTGAATGCACACATCACAAAGAAGTTTCTGAGAATTCTTCTGTCTGGTTTTACATGAAGAAATAGCATTTCAAATGAAGGCCACAAAGAGGTCAAAATATCCACTTGCAGATTCTACAAAAAGAGTGTTTCAAAACTGCTCTTTCAAGAGGAATATTCAACTCTGTGAGTTGAATGCAAATATCACAAAGTAGTTTCTGACAATGCTTCTGTCTAGTTTCTATGTGAAGATAATTCCTTTACTACCGTAGGCCTCAAAGCGCTCTAAATATACGCTTGAAAATTCCACAAAAAGAGTGTTTCAAAACTGCTCTATCAAAAGCAATGTTTAAATATGTGAGTTGAACGCACACACCACAAAGTAGTTTCTGAGAATCATTCTGTCTAATTTTTCTGTGAAGATATTTCCTTTTCTACCATAGCCCTCAAGCCGCTCTAACTATCCACTTGGAGATTCTACAAAAAGAGTATTTCATAACTGCTGTATCGAAAGGAGGGTTCAACTCTGTGAGTTGAATGCACACATCAAAAAGAAGTTTCTGAGAATTCTTCTGTCAAGTTTTATATGAAGAAATACTGTTTCCAACGAAGGCCTCAAAAAAAGTCCAAATATTCCAGTGCAGATTCTACAAAAAGTGAGTGTCTAAACTGCTCTATCAAAAGATGGCTAAACTCTGTGAGTGGAAGGCACACACCACAAAGTAGTTTCTGAGAATCAATCTGTCTAGCTTTTCTATGAAATTATTCACTTTTCTACCATAGGCGTCAAACTGTGCTAAATATCCCCTTGGAAATACTACAAAAAGAGAGTTTCAAAACTGCTGTATCGAAAGGAAGGTTCAACTCTGTGATTTGAAAGCACACGTCACCAACAAGTTTCTGAGAATCCTTCTTTCCAGGTTTATATGAAGAAATCCCGTTTCAAACGATGGCCGCAAGGTGGTCAACAAATCCACTTACAGAATCTTCAAAAAGAGTGTTTTAAAACTGCTCCATCAAGAGGAATGTTCATCTCTGTGAGTTGCATGCAAATATCACAAGGTAGTTTCTGACAATGCTTCTGACAACTTTTTATGTGAAGATATTTCCTTTTCTACCGTAGTCATCAAAGCACTCTAAATATGCACTTGCAAATGGCAGAGAAAGAGTGTTTCAAAGCTGCTCTATCAAAAGAAAGGTTGAACTCTGTAAGCTGAATGCACACATCACAAAGCAGCTTCTGAGAATGATTCTGTCTAGTTTTTCTATGAAGATATTTTCTTTTCCACCAGAGACCTCAAACCGCACTAAATATCCACTTGGAAATTCTACAAAAAGAGTGTTTCAAAACTGCTCTATGGAAAGGAAGGTTCAACCCTGTGAGTTGAATGCTCACATCACAAAGAAGTTTCTGAGAATTCTTCTGTCAAGTTTTATATGAAGAAATCCCGTTTCCAACGAAGGCCTCAAAAAAGTCCAAATATTCACTTGCAGATCCTACAAAAAGCGTGTTTCAAAACTGCTGTATCAAAATAAAGTTTAAACTCTGTGAGATGAATGCACACATCACAGAGTTGTTTCTGAGAATCATTCTGTCTAGCTTTTCTATGAAGATATTGCCTTTTCTACCATAGGCCTCAAATGCCGTTAAATATCCACTTGGAATTTCTAAAAAAGGAGAGATTCAATGCTAATCTATCGAAAGGAAGGTTCAAACCTGTGAGTTGAATGCACACATCACAAAGAAGTTTCTGAGAATTCTTCTGTCTAGTTTTATATGAAGAAAACCCGTTTCCAACGAAGGACTCAAAAAAGTCCAAATATTCACTTGTAGGTTCTAAAAAAGAGCGTTTCAAATCTGCTCTACCAAAAGAAAGGTTAAACTCTGTGAGTTGAAAACACAAACCACAAAGTAGTTTCTGAGAATCATTCTTTCTGTCTAGTTTTTCTATGAATATATTGCCTTTTCTACCATAGGCCTCAAATGGCGCTAAATATACACTTGGAAATCTACAGAAAGAGAGTTTCAAAACTGCCCTATTGAAAGTAAGGTTCAACTCTGTGAGTTGAAAGCACACATCACAAAGAAGTTTCTGAGAATTCTTCTGTCTAGGTTTAGATGAAGAAATCACGTTTCAAAAGAAGGCCACATAGACATCCAAATATCCCCCTGCAGATTCTTCAAAAAGAGTGTTTCAAAACTGCTCTATCAAGAGGAATTGTCCACTCTGTGAGTTAAATGCAAGTATCACAAAGTAGTTTCTGACAATGTTTCTGTCTAGTTTTTATGTGAAAATATTTCCTTTTCTACCCTAGGCCTCAAACCGCTCTAAATATGCACTTGCAAATTCCACAGAAAGAGTGTTTCAAAGCTGCTCTATCAAAAGAAAGGTTAAATTCTGTAAGCTGAACGCACACATCACAAAGTTGTTTCTGAGAATGATTCTGTCTATTTTTTCAATGAATATATTTCCCTTTCTACCAGAGGCCTCAAACCGCACTAAATATCCACTTGGAAATACTACAAAAAGAGTATTTCAAAACTGCTCTATCGAAAGGAAGTTTCAACTCTGTGAGTTGAATGCTTACATCACAAAGAAGTTTCTGAGAATTCTTCTGTCAAGTTTTATATGGAGAAGTCCCGTATCCAACGAAGGCCTAAAAAACTCCAAATATTTACCTGCAGATTCTACAAAAAGTGTGTTTCAAAACTGCTCTATCAAAAGAAAGTTTAAACTCTGTGAGTTGAATGCACGCAACACAGAGTTGTTTCTGAGAATCAATCTGTCTAGCTTTTCTATGAAGATATTGCCTTTTCTACCATAGGCCTCAAACCGTTCTAAGTATACACTTGGAAATTCTACAAAAAGAGTTTCAAAACTGCTCTATCAAAAGAAAGGTTAAATTCTGTAAGCTGAACGCACACATCACAAAGTCGTTTCTCAGAATGATTCTGTCTACTTTTTCAATGAAGATATTTCCTTTTGTGCCACCGGCCTGAAACCACTGTAAATATCCGTTGGAAAATTCTACGAAAAGAGTATTTCAAGACTGCTCTATCGAAAGGAAGGTTCAAGACTTTGAGTTGAATGCACACATCACAAAGAAGTTTCTGAGAATTCTTCTGTCAAGTTTTATTTGAAGAAATCCTGTTTCCAACAAAGCCCCAAGAAAGCCCAAATATTCACTTACAGACTCTACAAAAAGAGTGTTTCAAAACTGCTCTATCAAAAGAAAGAATAAACTCTGTGAGTTGAACGCACACATCACAAGGTACATTCAGAGTCATTCTGTCTAGTTTTTCTATGAACATATTGCCTTTTCTACCATCAGCCTCAAATTGCTCTAAATATCCAGTTGGAAATTCTCCAAAAAGAGTATTTCGAAGCTGCTCTATCTGAAGGAAGGTTCAACTCTGTGAGTTGAATGATCACATAACAAAGAAGTTTCAGAGAATTCTTCTTTCTAGTTTTAAATGAAGAAATCACGTTTCAAACGAAGGCCACGAAGAGGTCCAAATATCCACTTGCAGATTCTACAAAAAGAGTGTTTCAAAACTGCTCTATAGAGAAGAAGATTCAGCCGTGTTAGTTGAATGCAAATATCACAAAGCAGATTCTGACAATGCTTCTGTCTAGTTTTTATATGAAGATATTTTATTTTCTAAGGTAGGCCTCAAAGCGCTCAAAATACACACTTGCAAATTTCGCAAAAAGAAGAGTGTTTCAAAACTGCTCTATCAAAAGTAATGTAAAACTCTGTAAGCTGAATGCACACATCACAAAGCAGTTTCTGAGAATGATTCTGTCTAGGTTTTCAATGAAGATATTTCCTTTTCTACCACAGGCTTCAAACCACTCTAAATACCCACTTGGAAAATCTACAAAAAGAGTATTTCAGAACTGCTCTATTCAACGGAAGGTTCAAATCTGTGAGATGAATGCACACATCACAAAGAATTTTCTGAGAATTCTTCTGTGAAGTTTTAATGAAGAAATCCCGTTTCCAAAGAAGGCCTTAAGAAAGTCCAAATATTTACTTGCAGATTCCACAAAAAGAGTGTTTCAAAACTGCTCTATCAAAAGAAAGGTTAAACCCTGTGAGTTGAACACACACATCACAATGTAGTTTCTGAGAATCATTCTGTCAAGTTTTCCTATGAAGATATTTCCTTTTCTAGCACAGGCCTCAAACCGCTGTAAATATCCACTTGGAAATTCTAAACAAAGAGTATTTCAAAACTGCTGTATTGAAAGGAATGTTCAACTCTGTGAGTTGAAAGCCCACATCACAAAGTAGTTTCTGAGAATTCTTCTGTCCAGTTATATATGAAGAAATCACGTTTCAAACGAAGGCCACAAAGAGGTCCCAATATCCACTTGTAGACTGTGCAAAAAGAGTGTTTAAAAACCGCTCTATCAAGAGGAATGTTCAACTCTGTGAGTTGAATGCAAATATCACAAAGGAGTTTCTGACATTGCTTCTGTCTAGTTTTTATGGGAAGATATTTCCTTTTCTACCATAGGCCTCAAAGTGCACTAAATATACAATTGCAAATTCCACGAAAAGAGTGTTTCAAAACTGCTCTATCATAGGAAAGGTTAAACTCTGTAAGCTGAATGCACACATCACAAAGTAGTTTCTCAGAATGATTCTGTCTGGTTTTCTTATGAAGATATTTCCTTTTTTACCCTAGGCCTCAAAACGCTCTAAATATACACTTGGAAATTCTACAAAAAGAGTATTTCAAAACTGCACATTCAAAAGGAAGGTTCAAGTCTGTGAGTTGAATGCACACAACACAATATAGTTTCTGAAAATTCCTCTGTCAAGTTTTATATGAAGAAATCCCGTTTCCAACGAAGGCCTCAAAAAAGACCAAATATTCAATTGCAGATTCTAGAAAAACAGTGTTTCAAAACTCCTCTATCAATAGAAAGCTTAAATTCCGTGCATTCAATGCACACATCACAAAGTAGTTTCTGAGAATCATAATGACTACTTTTTCTATGAAGTTATTGCCTTCTCTATCATAGGCCTCAAACGGCGCTAAATATCCACTTGGAAATTTTACAAAAGAGGAGATTCAAAACTGCTCTATTGAAAGGAAGGTTCAAATATTTGAGTTGAAAGGACACATCACAAAGAGCTTTCTGAGAATTCTTCTATCTAGTTTTAAATGAAGAAATCAAGATTCAAACGACGGCCACAAAGAGGTACAAATATCCACTTGTAGATTCGCAAAAGGAGAGTCTATAATCTGCTCTTTCAAGAATAATGTTCAACCCTGTGTGTTGAATGCAAATATCACAAAGTAGTTTCTGACAATGCTTCTGTCTAGTTTTTATGTGAAGATATTTCCTTTTCTACCGTATGCCTCAAAGCACTCTAAATATAAAATTGCAAATTCCACAAAAAGGGAGTTGCAAAACTGCTCTATCAAAAAGAAAGGTTAAACTCCTCAAGCTGAATGCACACATCAAAAGGTAGTTTCTGTGAATGATTCTGTCTAGTGTTTCTATGAAGATATTTCCTTTTCTAGCATAGGCGTCAAGCCACTCTAAATATCCAATCGGACATTTTACAAAAAGAGAATTTCAAAACTGTTCTAACGAAAGGAAGGTTTACCACTATGAGTTGAATGCACACATCAGAAAGAAGTTTCTGAGAAATCTTCTGACAACTTGTATATGAAGAAATCACGTTTCCAAGGAAGGCCTCAAAAAAGTCCTACTATTCACTTGCAGATTCTACAAAAAGAGAGTTTCAAAATTGCTCTATCTACATAAAGTTTAAACTCTCTGAGTTGAACGCACACATCACAAAGTAGTTTCTGAGAATCATTCTGTCTACTTTTTCTACGAAGATATTGACTTTTCTACCCTAGGCCTCAAACGGCACTAAATATCTACTTGGAAATTCTACTAAAAGCGAGTTTCAAAACTCCTCTATCGAAAAGAAGGTTCAAATCGGGGAGTTGAAAGCTCACATCACAAAGGAGTTTCTGAGAATTATTCTGTCTCGTTTTTCACGAAGAAATCACGTTTCAAACGAAGGCCTCTAAGAGGTCCACATATCCACTTGCAGATTCTACAAAAAGAGTGTTTCAAAACTGCTCTATCAAGAGGAATATTCAACTCAGTGAGTTGAATGCAAATATCACTAAGTAGTTTCTGACAATGCTTCCGTCTAGTTTTTAGGTGAAGATATCTCCTTTTCTACTGTAGGCCTTATAGCGCTCTAAAAACACACTTGCAAATTCCACAAAAAGAGTGTTCAAAACTGCTCTATCAAAGAAAGGATAAACTCTGAAAGCTGAATACACACATCACAAAGTAGTTTATGAAAATGTTTCTATTTAGTTTCTCTACTAAGATATTTCCTTTACATCCCTAGGCCTCAAACCGTTCTAAATATCCACTTGGAAATTCTTCAAAAAGAGTATTTCAAAACTGCCCTTTCAAAATGAAGGTTCAACTCTGTGAGTTGAATGCACACATCACAAAGAAGTTTCTGAGAATTCTTATGTCAACTTTTATATGAAGAAATCCCTTTTCCAACGAAGGCCTCAAAAAAGTCCAAATATTCACTTGCAGATTCTACAAAAAGAGTGTTTCAAAACTGCTCTACTAAAAGAAAATTTACACTCTGTGAGTTGAATGCACAAATAACAACGTAGTTTCTGAGAATCATTCTGTCTAGTTTTTCTATGAAGGTGTTGCCTTTTATACCTTTGGCCTCAAAGGGTGGTAAATATCCACTTGGAAATTCTACATAAAGAAAGTTTCAAAACTGCTCTATCCAAAGAAAGTTTCAATTCTGTGAGTGGAAAGCACACATCACAAAGAAGTTTCTGGGAATTCTTCTCTCTAGTCTTACATGAAGAAATCACGTTTCAAACGAAGGCCAAAAAGAGGTCAAATATCCACTTGCAGATTCTACAAAAAGAGTATTTCAAACTTCTCTATCAAGTGTAATGTTCAACTCTGTGAGTTGAATGCAAATATCACAAAGTAGTTTTTGACAATGCTTCTGTCTAGTTTTTATCTGAAGATATATTCTTTTCTACAGTAGGCCTCAAAGAGCTCTAAATATAAACTTGCAAATTCCACAAAAGGAGTGTTTCAAAACTGCTCTATCAAAAGAAAAGTTAAACTCTGTAAGCTGAATGCACACATCACAAAGCAGTTTCTGAGAATGATTCTGTCTAGTTTTTCTATGAAGTTATTTCCTTTTCTACAATTGTCCTCCAACCGCTCTAAGTACACACTTGGAAATTCTACAAAAAGAGTATTTCAAAACTGCTCCTTTGAAATGAAGGTTCAATTCTTTGAGTTGAATGCGCACATCACAAAAAAGTTTCTGAGAATTCTTCTGTGAAGTTTTATATGAACAAATCCCGTTTCCATCGAAGGCCTCAAAAAAGTCCAAATATTAACTTGCGGATTATACAAAAACAGTGTCTCAAAACTGCTCTATCAAAACAAAGTTTAAACTCTGTGAGTTGAACGCACACATCACAAAGTAGTTTATGAGAATCATTTTGTCTAGTTTCTCTATGAAGATGTTTCCTTTTCTACCGTAGGGTTCAAACGGCACTAAATACCAACTTGGAAATTCTACAAAAAGAGAGTTTCAAAACTGCTCTATCCAAAGGAAGGTTCAAATCTGTAAGTTGAAAGCACACATCACAAAATGTTTCTGAGAATTCTTCTGCCTAGATTTATATGAAAAAATCATGTTTAAAAAGAAGGCCACAAAGAAGTCCAAATATCCACTTGCGGATAATACATAAAGAGCGTTTCAAAACTGTTCTATAAAGAGGAATGTTCAACATCGTGAGTTGAATGCAAATATCCAAAGAATTTTCTGACAATGCTTCTGTCTAGTTTTTATGTGAAGATATATCCTTTTCTACCTTAGACCACAAAGCGCTCTAAATATACACTTGCAAATTCCACAAAAAGAGTGTTTCAAAAGTGCTCTATCAAAATAAAGGTTAAATTCTGTAAGCTGAATGCAAACTTCACGAAGTAGTTTCTGAGAATGATTCTGTCTAGTTTTTCTATGAAGATATTTCCTTTTCTACCATAGGCTTCAAACCGCTCTAAATAGCCACTTGGAAAAAATAAAAGAAGAGAATTTCAAAACTGTTCTATCGAAAAGAAGGTTCAAACATTTGAGTTGAATGCACATATCACAAAGAATTTTCTGAGAATTCTTCTGTCAAGTTTATATGAAGAAATCCCGTTTCCAAAGAAGGCCTCAAAAAAGTTCAAATATTCACTTGCACATACTGCAAAAAGAGTGTTTCAAAACTGCTCTATCAAAAGAAAGGTTAAATTCTGTGACTTGAACGCACACATCACAAAGTAGTTTCTGAGAATCATAATGTCTAGTTTTCTATTTGCTTTTCAACCGTAGACCTCAAAAGGCGGCAAATATCCACTTGGAAATTCTACAAAAAGAGAGTTTCGAAACTGCCCTGTCGAAAGGAAGGTTCGACTATGTGAGTTGAAAGCATACATCACAAATATGTTTCTGAGACTTCTTCTGTATAGTTTTAGAAGAAGAAATCACGTTTCAAATAAAGGCTACAAAGAGGTCCAAATATCCACCTGGAGATTCTACAAAATGAGTGTTTCAAAACTGCTCTATCAAGAGGAATGTTCAACTCTGTAAGATGAATGTAAATATCACAAAGTAGTTTCTGACAATGCTTGTCTAGTTTTTATGTGAAGATATTTCCTTTTATACGGTAGGCCTCAAAGCGCTCTATATATACACTTGCAAATTCCCCAAAAGACTGTTTTAAAACTGCTCTATGAAAAGGAAGGCTAACCTCTGTCAGCTGAATGCACACATCAGAAATAGTTTCGGAGAATGATTCTGTCTAGTTTTTCTATGAAAATATTTCCTTTTCTAGCATAGGCCTCAAACTGCTCTAAATATCCAGTTGGAAATTCTACAAAAAGAGAATTTCAAAACTGCTCTATCAAAAAGAAGGTTTAACACTGTGAGTTGAATGCGCACATCACAAAACAGTTTCTGAGAATTCTTCTGTCAAGTTTTCTATGAAGAAATCCCATTTCCAAAAAAGGCCTCCAAAAAGTCCAAATATTCACTTGCAGATTCTACAAAAAGACTGTTTCAAAAAAGCTCTATCAAAAGAAACGTTAAACTCTGTGAGTCGTAAGCAAACATCACAAAGAAGTTTCTCAGAATCATTCTATCTAGTTTTTCTTAAAAGATATTTCCTTTTCTACCATAGGCCTCAAACGGCACTAAATATCGACTTGGAAATTCTACAAAAAGAGAGTTTCTAAACTCCTCTATCGAAAGAAAGTTTCAACTCTGTGAGTTGAAAGCACACATCACAAAGAAGTTTCTGAGAATTCTTCTGTGTAGTTTTATACGAAGAAATCACGTTTCAAACGAACGCCACAAAGAGGTCCAAATATCCGATTGCAGATTGTACAAAAAGAGTGATTCAAAACTCCTCTATCAAGAGGAATTTTCAACTCTGTGAGTTGAATGCAAATATCACAAAGTAGTTTCTGACAATGCTTCTGTCTAGTTTTCATGTGAAGATATTTCCTTTTCTACCATAGGCCTCAAAACACTAAAATATACACTTGCAAATTGCAGAAAAAGAGTGTTTAAAACTGCGATATCAAAAAGAATGGTAAACACTTAAGCTGAATGCACACATCACAAAGTAGTTTCTGAAAATGATTCTATCTTGTTTTTCTATGAAGATATTTCTTTTTCTACCATAGGCCTCAAACGGAACTAAATATCCACTTTGAAATTCTACAAAAAGAGTATTTCAAAACTGCTCTATCAAAAGGAAATTTCAACTCTCTGAGTTGAATGCAAACCTCCCAAATAAGTTTCTGAGAATTCTTCTGTCAAGTTTTATGAAGAAATCCCGTTTCCAACGGAGGCCTCAAAAAAGTAGAAATATTCACCTGCAGATTCTACAATAAGAGTGTTTCAAAACTGCTCTATCAAAAGAAAGATTAAACCCAGTGAGTTGAAAGCACACATCACAAAGTAGTTTCTGAGAATCATTCTGTCTAGTTTTCCTATGAAGATATTGCCTTTTCTACCATAGGCCTCAAACGGCGATAAATATCAACTTGGAAATTATACAAGAAGAGAGTTTCAAAACACCTCTATGGAAAGGAAGGTTCAACTCTGTGAGTTAAAAGCACACATAACAAAGAAGTTTCTGAGAACTCTTCTGCCTAGTTTTATATGAAGAAATTACGTTTCAAACGAATGCCACAAAGAGGACAAAATAATCAATTGCAGATTCTACAAAAAGAGTATTTCAAAACTGCTCTATCAAGAGGAATGTTCAACTCTGTGAGTTGAATGCAAATATCACAAAGTAGTTTCTGACAATGCTTCTGTCTAGTTTTTATGTGAAGATATTTCCTTTTCGACGTAGCCTTCAAAGAGCTCTAAATATATACTTTCAAATTCCACAAAAGCAGTGTTTCAAAACTGCTCTATCAAAAGTAAGGTTAATCTCTGTCAGCTGAATGCAAAAATCACAAAGTAATTTCTGAGAATGATCCTGTCTCGTTTTTCTATGAAGATATTTCCTTTTCTACCAGAGGCCTCAAACGGAGCTAAATATAAATTTGGAAATTATACAAAAACAGTATTTCAAAACTGCTCTTTCGAAAGGAAGGTTCAAAACTGTTAGTTGAATGCACACATCACAAAGAAGTTTCTGAGAATTCTTCTGTTCAATTTTATATGAAGAAAACCCGTTTCCAACGAAGGCTTCAAAAAAGTCCAAATATTCACTTGCAGATTCCACAAAAACATTGTTTCAAAACTGCTCTATCAACAGAATGGTGAAACCCTTTGAGTTGAACGCACACCTCACAAAGTAGTTTCTGAGAATCACTCTGTGTAGTTTTTTTATGAAGATATTGCCTTTTCAACGATAGGCCTCAAACGACGCTAAATATCCACTTGGAAGTTCTACAAAAAGAGTTTCAAAACTGCTCTATCGAAAGTAAGGTTCAACTCTGTGAGTTGAAAGCACACATCACAAAGAAGTTTCTGAGAATTCTTCTGTCTTGTTCTATATGAAGAAATCACGTTTCAAAAGAACGCCACAAAGAGGTCCAAATATTTAATTGCAGATTCTACAAAAAGAGTGTTTTAAAACTGCACTATCAAGAGGAATGTTCAACTCTGTGAGTTGAATGCAAATATCACAATGTAGTTTCTGACAATGCCTCTGTCTGGTTTTTATGTGAAGATATTTCCTTTTCTATGGTAGACCACGAAACGCTCGAACTATACACTTGGAAATTACACAAAAAGAGTGTTTCATAACTGCTCTATCAAAAGAAAGGTTAAATTCTGAAAGCTGTATGCATATTTCACAAACAAGTTTCTGATAATGATTCTGTCTTGTTTTTCTACGAAGATATTTCCATTTCTACCATAGGCTTCAAACCGCAATAAATATCCACATGGAAATTCTACAAAAAGAGTATTTCAAAACTGCTCTGTCGAAATGAAGGCTCAACTCTGTGACTTGAATGCAGATATCACCAAGAAGTTTCTGAGAATTCTTCCCTGAAGTTTTATTTGAAGAAATCCCATTTCCAAAGAAGGCCTAAAAAAAGTCCAAATATTCACTTGCAGATTCTACCAAAAGTGTGTTTCAAAACTGCTCTATCAAAAGAAACGTTAAACCCAGTGCATTGAATGCACACATCACAAAGTTGTTTCTGAGAATCATTCTGTCTAGTTTTTCTATGAAGATATTGCCTTTTCTACCATAGACCTCAAACGGCTCTAAGTATCCACTTGGAAATCCTACAAAAGGAGAGTTTCAAAGCTGCTCTATCGATAGAAAGATTCAACTCTGTGATTTGAAAGCATATATCACAAAGAAGTTTCTGAGAATTCTTCTGTCTAGTTTTATATGAAGAAATCACGTTTGAAACGAAGGCCACAAAGAGGTCCAAATATCCACTTGCAGATTCTAGAAAATGAGTGTTTCAATACTGCTCTATCAAGAGGAAAGTTCAACTCTGTGAGTTGAATGCAAACATCACAAAGTAGTTTCTGACAATTCTTCTGCCTAGTTTTTACCTGGAGATATTTCCTTTTCTACCATAGGCCTCAAAGCTCTCTAACTATACACTTACAAATTCCACAAAAGCAGTGTTTCAAAACTGCTCTATCAAAAGAAAGCTTAAACTCTGTTAGCTGAATGCACACATCACAAAGTAGTTTCTGAGAATTATTCCGTCTAGTTTTTCTAGGAAGATATTTCCTTTTTTACAATAGGCCTCAAACCGCTCTAAATATCCACTTGGAAATACTTCAAAAAGAGTATTTCAAAACTGATCTATCGAAAGGAAGGTTCAACTCTGTGAGTTGAATGCACAAGTCTCAAAGAAGTGTCTCTGAATTCTTCTGCCAAGTTTTATATGAAGAAATGACGTTTCCAACGAAGGCTCCAAAAAGTCCAAATACTTACTTGCAGATCCTACAAAAATAGTGTTTCCAATGTGCTCTATCAAGACGAATGTTCAACTCCATTAGTTGAACGCAAATATCACAAAGTAGTTTCTGACAATGCTTCTGTCTAGTTTTTAATTGAAGATATTTCCTTTTCTACTGTAGTCCTCAAACCTCTATAGATATGCACTTGCAAATACCAAAAAAAAGAGTGTTTCAAAACTGTTCTATCAAAAGAAAGTTTAAACTTTGTTAGCTGAATGCACACATCACAAAGTTGTTTCTGAGAATGATTTTGTCTAGTTTTTTTTTGAAGATAATTCCCTTTCTACCATAGGCCTCAAACCAGTCTAAATATCCACTGGGAAATAGTACAGAAAGAGTATTTCAAAATTGCTCTATTGAAAGGAAGGTTCAACTCTGTGAGTTGAAAGCACACATCGCAAAGAAACTTCTGAGAATTCTTCTGTAAGATTTATATCAAGAAATCCCGTTTCCAACCAAGGCCTCAAAAATGTCCAAATATTCACTTGCACATTCTACACAAAGAGTGTTTCAAAACTGCTCTGTCAAAAGAAAGTTAAAACTCAGTGAATAGAACTCACACATGAGAATATAGTTTCTGAGAATCATTCTGTCTAGTTTTTCTATGAAGATATTTCCTTTTCTACCATAGGCCTCAAGCGATGCTAAATAGCCACTTGGAAATTCTACAAAAACCGAGCTTCAAAACTGCTATATTGAAAGGATGTTTCAAATCTGTGAGTTGAAAGCACTCATCACAATGAAGTTTCTGAGAATTTTTCTGTCTAGTTTTATATGAAGAAATCACGTTTCAAACGAACGCCACAAAGAGGTCAATATATCCACTTGCAGATTCTACAAACAGAGTGTTTAAAGCTGCTCTATCAAAAAAAAAAAGGTTAAACTCTGTGAGTTGAACGCACACATTACAAAGTAGTTTCTGAGAACCATTCTTTCTAATTTTTCTATGAAGATATTGCCTTTTCAACCACAGGCCTCAAATGGCGCTAAATATCCACTTGGAAATCTACAAAAAGAGAGTTTTAAACTGATCTATCGAAAGGAAGGTTCAACTCTGGGAGTTGAATGCACACATCACAAAGAAGTTTCTGAGAATTCTTCTGTCAAGTTTTACATGAAGAAATCCCGTTTCCAACGAAGGCCTCAAAAAAGTCCAAATATTAATTTGCAGATCCTACAAAAATAGTGTTTCAAAACTGCTCTATCAAAAGGAATGTTCAACTCTGTGAGTTGAATGCAAATATCACAAAGTAGTTTCTGACAATGATTCTGTCTAGTTTTGTGAAGATATTTCCTTTCCTACTGTCGGCCTCAAAGCGCTCTAAATATACACTTGCAAATTCTACAAAAAGAGTCTTTGAAAACTTCTCTATCAAAGGAAAGTTTAAACCCAATAAGCTGAATGCACACATCACAAAGTAGTTTCTGAGAATGATTCTGTCAAGTTTTTCTATGAAGGTATTTCCTTTTCTACAATAGGCCTCAAAAGGCTCTAAATATCCAATTGGAAATTCTACAAAAAGATTATATCAAAACTGCTCTATCGAAAGGAAGCTTCAACTCTGTGAGTTGAATGCACAGATCACGAAGTATTTTCTGGGAATTCTTCTGTCAACTTTTATATGAAACAATCCCGTTTCCAACGAAGGCCTCAAAAAGTCCAAATATTTACTTGCAGATTCTACAAAAAGAGTGTTTCCAAACTGCTCAATCAAGACGAATGCTCAACTCTGTGAGTTGAAGTAAATGTCACAAAGTAGTTTCTGACAATGCATCTCTCTAGTTTTTATGTGAAGATATTCCCTTTCTACTGTAGGCCTCAAAGCACTCTAAATATACACTTGCAAATTCCACAAAAAGAGTGTTTCAAAACTGCTCTACCAAAAGAAAGTTTATACTCTGTCAGCTGAATGCACACATTACAAAGTAGTTTCTGAGAATGATTCTGTCTAATTTTTCTATGAAGATATTTCCTTTTCTACCACAGGCCTCAAACCGCTCTGAATATCCACTTGGAAATTCTACCAAAAGATTATTTCAAAACTGCTGTATTGAAATGAAGGTTCAACTCTGTGAGTTCAATGCACACATCACAAAGGAGTTTCTGAGAATTCTTCTGTCAAGTTTTATATGAAGAAATCCCCTTTCCAAAGAAGGCCTCAAAAAAGTCCATATATTCACTTGCAGATTCTACAAAACGAGTGTTTCAAAACTGCTCTATCAAAAGAAAGGTTAAACTCTGTGAGTTGAACGCACACATCACAAATTAGTTTCTGGAAATCATTCTGTCTAGTTTTTCTATGAAGATGATATTGCCTTTTCTACCATAGGCCTGAAACGGCGCTAAATATCCACTTCGAAATTCAACAAAAAGAGAGTTTCAAAACTTCTCTATTGAAAGGAAGGTTCAACTCTGTGAGTTTAAAGCACACATCACAAAGAAGTTTCTGAGAGTTCGTCTGTCTAGTTTTATATGAAGAAATCACGTTTCAAAAGAAGGCCGCAAACAGGCACAAATATCCACTTGCAGACTCTACAAAAAGAGTGTTTCAAAACTGTTCTATCAAGAGGAACGTTCAACTCTGTGAATTGAATGCAAAAATCACAAAGTAGTGTTTGACAATGTTTCTGTCTAGTTATTATGTGATGATATTTCCTTTTCTACCGTAGGCCTCACAGCATTCTAAATATACACTTGCAAATTCAACAGAAAGAGTGTTTCAAAACTGCTCTATCAAAAGAAATGTTAAACTCTGTAAGCTGAATGCACACATCAAAAATAAGTTTCTAGGAATGATTCTGTCCAGTTTTTCTATGAAGATATTTCCTTTTCTACCACAGACCTCAAACCGCTCAAAATATACAGTTGGAAATTTTACAAAAAGAGTAAATCAAAACTGCT
This sequence comes from Homo sapiens, assembly GCF_000001405.40. Classification (NCBI taxonomy): domain Eukaryota; kingdom Metazoa; phylum Chordata; class Mammalia; order Primates; family Hominidae; genus Homo; species Homo sapiens. The sequence continues at coordinate 134,982 of NW_012132917.1, forward strand.
CTATTGAAAAGAAGGTTCAAGTGTGAGTGTTGAATGCACACATCACAAAGAAGATTCTTAGAATTCTTCTCTCAAGTTTATATGAAGAAACCCGTTTCCAACGAAGGCCCCAAAAGAGTCCAAATATTCTCTTGCAGATACTACAAAAAGAGTGTTTCAAAATTGCTCTATCAAGAGGAACGTTCAACTCTGTGAGTGGAATGCAAATAGCACAAAGTAGTTTCTGACAATGCTTCTGTCTAATTTTTATGTGAAGATATTTCCTTTTCTACCCTAGGCCTCAAAGCGCTCTAAATATACACATGCACATTACAAAAAAAAATGTGTTTCAAAACTGCTCTATTGAAAGGAAGGTTCAACCCTGGGAGTTGAATGCACACATCATAAAGAAGTTTCTGAGAATTCTTATGTTATGTTTTATATGAAGAAAACCTGATTCCAACGAAGGTCTCAAAAAAGTCCAAATATTAATTTGCAGATTCTAAAGAAGGGTGTTTCAAAACTGCTCTATCAAGAGGAATTTTCAACACTGTGAGTTGAATGCAAATATCACAATGTAGTTTCTGAGAATCATTCTGACTAGTTTTTCTAAGAAGATATTCCCTTTTCTACCACAGGCCTCAAGCTGCGTTAAATATCCACTTGGAAATGCCACAGAAAGAGTTTCAAAACTGCTCTATTGAAAGGAAGGTTCAAACCTGTAAGTTGAATGCACACATTAGAAAGAAGTTTCTGAGAATTCTTCTGTCAAGTTTTAAATGAAGAAATCCTGTTTCCAACAAAGGCCTCAAGAGAGTCCGAATATTCACAAGCAGAATCTACAAAAAGAATGTTTCAAAACTGCTCTATCAATAGAAAGATTAAACTCTGTGAATAGATCGCACACATCATAAAGTAGTTTCTGAGAATCATTCTGTCTAGTTTTTCTATGAAGATATTGCCTTTTCCACTATAGGCCTCAAATGGCGCTAAATATCCACTTGGAAATTCTACAAAAACAGAGTTTCAAAACTGCTCTATCAAAAGGAAGACAACTCTGTGAGTTGAAAGCACACATCACAAATAAATTTCTGAGAATTCTTCTGTCAAGTTTTATATGAAGAAATCACGTTTCAAATGAAGGCCACAAAGAGTTCTAAATATCCACTTGCAGATTCTGCAAAAACAGTGTTTCAAAACTGCTCTATCAAAAGAAAGGTTTAACTCTGTGAGTTGAAAGCTCACATCACAATGTAGTATCTGAGAATCATTCTGTCTAGTTTTTCTATGAAAATATTTCCTTTTCTAACAGAGGCCTCAAACGGCTCTAAATATCCACTTGGAAATTCTACAAAAAGAGGGTTTGAAAACTGCTCTATCGAAAGGATGATTCAACTCTGTGAGTTCAAAGCATACATCACAAAATTTTCTGAGAATTCTGCTGTCTAGTTTTACATTAAGAAATCAAGTTTCAAACAAAGGCCACAAAGAGGTCCAAATATCCACTTGCAGGTTCTACAAAAAGAGTGTTTCAAAAATGCTCTATCAAGAGGAACTTTCAACTCTGTTAGTTGAATGCAAATATCACAAGGTAGTTTCTGACAATGTTTCTGTCTAGTTTTTATGCGAAGATATTTCCTTTTCTCCCATAGGCCACAAAGCAATCTAAATATATACTTGCAAATACCACAAAAATTTTGTTTCAAAACTGCTCTATCAAAGGAAAGGTTAAACTCTGTAAGCTGAATGCACACATCACAAAGTAGTTTCTGAGAAATATTCTGTCTAGTTTTTTTATGAAGATATTTCCTTTTCTACCACAGGCCTTTAACCGCAATAAATATCCATTTGGGAATACTACAAAAAGATTATTTCAAAACTGCTCTATCGAAAGGAAGGTTCATCTCTTGCAGTTGAATGCACACATCACAAAGAAGTTTCTGAGAATTCTTATGTCAAGTTTTATATGAAGAAACCCCCTTTCAAACGAAGACCTCAAAAAACCTAAATATCAATTTGCAGATTCTACAAAAAGATGTTTCAAAACTGCTCTATCAAGAGGAATGCGCAACTTTGTCAGTTGAAGGCAAGTATCACAAAGAAGTTTCTGACAATGCTTCTGCCTAATTTTTATGTGAAGATATTTCCTTTTCTACCATAGGCCTCAAACTGCTCTAAATATCCACTTGGAAATTCTACAAAAAGAGAGTTTCAAAACTGCTCTATCAAAAGAAAATTTAAACTCTGTAAACTGAAAGCACACATCACAAAGCAGTTTCTGAGAATGATTCTGTCTAGTTTTTGTATGAAGATATTTCCTTTTCTAACATAGGCCTCAAACTTCACTCAATGTTCACTTGGAAATTCTACAAAAAGAGAATTTCAAAACTCCTCTATCGAAAGGAAGGTTCAGCTCTGTGAGTTGAAAGCACACATCACAAAGAAGTTTCTGAGAATTTATATGTCTAGATTTACATGAAGAAATCACGTTTCAAAGGAAAGCCACAAAGAGGTCCAAATATCCACTTGTAGATTCTACAAAAAGAGTGTTTAAAACTGCTCTATAAAGAAGAATGTTCAACTCTGTGAGTTGAATTCAAATATCACAAGGTAGTTTCTGACAATGCTTCTGTCTAGTTTTTCTATGAAGTTATTGCTTTTCTACCATAGGCCTCTAAAAGCACTAAATATCCACTTGGAAATTCTACACAAAAAGTTTCAAAACTGCTCTATCTAAAGGAAAGTTCAATTTTGTGACTAGAATGCACACATCACAAAGAAGTTTCTGAGGATTCTTTAGTCACGTTTTATATGAAGAAATCCAGTTTCCAATGAAGGCCCCCAAAACTTCAAATATTCACTTGCAGATTCTACAAAAACAGATTTCAAAACTGCTCTATCAAAAGAAAGATTAAACTCTGTAAGCTGAATGCACACATCACCAAGTAGTTTCTGTAAATGATTCTGTCTAGTTTTTCTATGAAGATATTTCATATTCTACCACAGGCCTCAAAACGCTCTAAATATCCACTTGGACATACTACAAAAAGAGTATTTCAAAACTGCTCTAACAAAAGGAAGGTTCAATTCTGTGAGTTGGATGCACACATCACAAAGAAGTTTCTGAGAATTCTTCTGTCTAGTTTTATATGAAGAAATCACATTTCAAACGAAGGCCACAAAGAGGTCAAAATATCCACTCACAGATTCCAGAAAAAGAGTGTTTCAAAAATGCTCTATCAAGAGGAATGTTCAACTCTGTGAGTTGAATGCAAATATCATGAAGTAGTTTCTGACAATGCTTCTGTCTAGTTTTTATGTGAAGTTAATTCCTTTTCTACCTTAGGCCTCAAAGCGCTCTAATATACACTGGCAAATTCCACAAAAAGAGTGTTTCAAAACTGCTCTATCAAAAGAAATGTTAAACTCTGTAAGCTGAGTGCACACATCACAAAACAGTTTCTCAGAATGATTCTGTCTCGCTTTTCTATGAAGATATTTCTTTTTCTACCACAGGCCTCAAACAGCTCGAAATATCCATTTGGAAATTCTACCAAAAGACTACTTCAAAACTGCTCTATCGAAAGGAATTCTCAACTCTGTGAGTTGAATGAACATATCACAAGGAAGTTAATGATAATTCTTCTGTCACCTTTTATATGAAGAATTCCCGTTTCCAATGAAGGAACCCAGAAAGTCCAAATATTCACATGCAGATTCTACAAAAACAGTGTTTCAAAACTGCTCTATCAAAAGAAAGATTAAACTCTGAAAGCTGAATGCAAACATCACAAAGCAGTTTCTGTGAATGATTCTGTCCAGTTTTTCTATGAAGATATTTCCTTTTCTACCACAGGCCTCAAACAGCTATAAATAACCATTTGGAAATTCTACAAAAAGAGTATTTCAAAACTGCTCTGCTGAAAGGAAGGTTCAATTCTGTCAGCTGAATGCACACATCACAAAGAAGTTTCTGAGAATTCTTCTGTCACGATTTATGTGAAGAATTCCCGTTTCCAACGAAGGCCCCCAAAAACTCCAAATATTCACTTGCAGATTCTACAAAAACATTGTTTCAAAACTGCTCTATCAAAAGAAAGATTCCACTCTGTGAGTTGAACGCACACAGCACAATGTAGTTTCTGAGAATCATTCTGTCTAATATTTCTATGAAGACATTGCCTTTTCTACCACTGGCCTCAAAAGGCGCTAAATATCCACTTGGAAATTCTACAAAAAGAGAGTTTCAGAACTGCTCTATCGAAAGGAAGATACAACTCTGTGACTTGAATGCACATATCACAAACAAGTTTCGGAGAATTCTTCTGTCGAGATTGATATGAAGAAATTACGTTCAAAACGAAGGCCCCAAAGAAGTCCAAATATCCACTTGCAGACTCCACAAAAAGAGTGTTTCAAAACTGCTCTATCAAGAGGAATGTTCAACTCGGTGAGTTGAATGCAAATATCACAAAGTAGTTTCTGACAATGCTTCTGTCTAGTTTTTATGTGAAGATATTTCCTTTTCTACAGTTGGCTTCAAAGTGCTCTAAATATTCACTTGCAAATTCCACAAAAAGACTGTTTCAAAACTGCTCTATCAAACGAAAGGTTAAACTCTGTAAGCTGAATGCACACATCACAAAGTAGTTTCTGAGAATGATTCTGTCTAGTTTTTCTATGAAGATATTTCCTTTTCTACCACAGGCCTCAAACTGCTCTAAATATCCACTTGGAAATTATACAAAAAGAGCATTTCAAAATTGCTGTATTGAAAGGAACGTTCAACTCAGTCAACTGAATGCACACATCACAAAGAAGTTTCTGAGAATTCTTCTGTAAAGTTTGACATGCAGAAATACCGTTTCCAACGAAGGCCTCAAAAAAGTCCAAATATTCATTTTTAGATTCTACAAAAACAGTGTTTCAAAACTGCTCTATCTAAAGGAAGGTTAAATTCTGTGAGTTGAAAGCACATAACATAAAGTAATTTCTGAGAATCACTCTGTCTGGTTTTTCTGTGAAGATGTTGCCTTTTCTACCACAGGCCTCAAACGGCGCTAAATGTCCACTTGAAAATTCTACAACAAGAGTGTTTCAACGCTGCTCTATCGAAAGAAAGTTTCAACTCTGTGAGTTGAAAGCACATATCACAAAGAAGTTTCTGAGAATTCTTCTGCCTAGGTTTATATGAATAAATCACGTTTCAAAGGAAGGCCACAAAAAGGTCCAAATATCCACTTGTAGATTCTAGAAAAAGAGTGTTTCGGAACTGCCCTATCAAGAGGAATGTTCAACTAGGTGAGTTGAATACAAATATCACAATGTAGTTTCTGACAATGTTTCTGTCTTGTTTTTATGTGAAGATATTTCCTTTCTAACCGTAGGCCTCAAAGCGCTCTAAATATACACTTGCAAATTCCACAAAAAGAGTGTTTCAAAACTGCTCTAACAAAAGAAAGGTTAAACTCTGTAAGCTGAATGCACACATCACAGGTAGTTTCTGAGAAAGATTCTGTCTGGTTTTTCAGAAGATATTTCCATTTCTGCAACAGACCTCAAACCAGTCTAAATATCGACTTTTAAATTGTACAAAAAGAGTATTTCAAAACTACTCTATCGAAAGGAAGGTTCAAATCCGTCAGTTGAATGCACACAACACAAAGAAGTTTCTGAGAATTCTTCTGTCTAGTTTTATATGAAGAAATCCCGTTTCCAAAGAAGGTCTCAAAAAAGTCCTAATATTCAATTGCAGATTCTACAAAAAGAGTGTTTCAAAACTGCTCTATCATAAGAAAGTTTAAACTCTGTGAGTCAAACACACACATCACAAAGTAGTTTCTGAAAATCATTCTGTCTAGTTTTTCTATGAAGATATTGCATTTTCTACCATAGGCCTCAAACGACACTAAATATCTACTTGAAAATTCTACAAAAAGAGAGTTTCAAAACTGCTCTACCGAAAGGAAGGTTCAACTCGGTGAGTTGAAAGAACACATCACAAAGTAGTTTCTGAGAATTCTTCTTTCTAGTTTTACATGAAGAATTAACGTGTCAAAAAAGACCCACAAAGAGGTCCAAATATCCACTTGCAGATTCTTCAAAAAGAGTGTTTCAAAACTGCTCTATCAAGAGGAATGTTCAACTCTGTGAGTTGAATGCAAATATCACAAAGTAGTTTCTGACAATGCTTCTTTCTATCATTTATATGAAGGTATTTCCTTTTCTAAAGTAGGCCTCAAAGCGCTCTAAATATACAGTTGCAAATTCCACAAAAAGAGTTTTTCAAAACTGCTCTATCAAAGGAAAGGTTAAACTCCGTAAGCTGAGTGCACACACCACAAAGCAGTTTGTGACAATGAATCGGACTAGTTTTTCTATGAAGATATTTCCTTTTCTACCATAGGCCTCAAACCGCTTTGAATATCCACATAGACATTCTACAAAAAGAGTATTTGAAAACTGCTCTATCGAAAGGAAGGTTCAACACTGTGGTTTGAATGCACACATCACAAAGAAGGTTCTGAGAGTTCTTCAGTCATTATTTATAGGAAGATGTCCCGTTTCCAATAAAGTCCCCAAAAAAGTCTGAATATTCACTGGCAGATTCTACAAAAACATTGTTTCAAAACTGCTCTATCAAAAGAAAGGTTAAACTCTGTGAGTTGAACGCAGACATCACAAAGTAGTTTCTGAGAATTATTCTGTCTAATTTTTCTATGAACATATTGCCTTTACTAACATAGGCCTCAAACGGCGCTAAATATCCACTTGGAAATACTACAAAAAGAGAGTCTCAAAACTCCTCTATTGAAGGGAAGGTTCAACTCTGTGAGTTGAAAGCACACTTCACAAAGAAGTTTCTGAGAATTATTCTGTCTAGTTTTATATGAAGAAATCACGTTTCAAACGAAGGCCACAAAGAGGTCCAAATACCCTCTCATAGATTATACAAAAAGAGTGTTTCAAAACTGCTCTATCAAGAGGAATGTTCAACTCTGTGAGTTGAATGCAAATATCATAAAGTAGTTTCTGACAATGCTTCTTCCTAGTTTTTATGTGAAGATACTTCTTTTTCTTCCCTAGGCCTCAAAGCTCTTTAAATATACACAGGCAAATACAACAAAAAAAGTGTTTCAAAGCTGCTCTATCAAAAGAAAGGGTAAACTCTGTAAGCTGAATGCACACATCACAAAGAAGTTTCATAGAATGATTCTGTCTCGTTTTTGAAAAAAAGATATCTCCTTTCCTTCCACAAGCTTCAAACTGCTCTAAATATCCACTTGGAAATTCCACAAGAAGATTATTTCAAAACTGCTCTATCGAAAGGAAGGTTCAATTCCATGAGTTGAATGCACACAACACAAAGAAGTTTCTGAGAATTCTTCTGTCACGTTTTATATGAAGAAATCACGTTTGCAACGAAGGCCCCCCAAAATCCCAACTATTCACTTGCAGATTCTACAAAAAGAGTGTTTCAAAATTGCTCTATCAAAAGAAAGGTTAAACTCTGTGAGTTCAACGCACACACCACAAAGTAGTTTCTGAGAATCATTCTGTCAAATTTTTCTACGAAGAAATTTAATTTTATACCACAGGCATCAAAGGACTCTTTATATCCACTTGGAAATTGTACAAAAAGAGAGTTTCAAAGCTGCTCTATCGAAAGGAAGGTTCAACTCTGTGAGTTGAAAGCACACGTCACAAAGAAGTTTCTCATTATTCTTCTGTCTAGTTTTATATGAAAAAATCATGTTTCAAACGAAGGCCACAAAGAGGTCCAAATATCCACTTGCAGATTCTGCAAAAAGAGTGTTACAAAACTGCTCATCTAAAGAAATGTTAAACTCTGTAAGCTGAACGCACACATCACAAAGTAGTTTCTGAGAATGATTCTGTCCAGTTTTTCTATGAAGATATTTCCTTTTCTACCGCTGGCCTCAAACCGCTCTAAATATCCACTTGGAAATTCTACCAAAAGAGTATTTCGCAACCATTCTATCGAAAGGAAGGTTGAACTCTGTGACTTGAATGCACACATCAGAAAGAAGTTTCTGAGAATGATTCTGTCCAGTTTTTCTATGAAGATATTTCCTTTTCTACCGCTGGCCTCAAACCGCTCTAAATATCCACTTGGAAATTCTACCAAAAGAGTATTTCGCAACCATTCTATCGAAAGGAAGGTTGAACTCTGTGACTTGAATGCACACATCAGAAAGAAGTTTCTGAGAATTCTTCTGTCAAATTTTATATGAAGAAATACCGTTTCCAACGAAGGCCTCAAAAAAGTCCAAATATTCACTTGCGGATTATACACAAAGACTGTTTCAATACTGCTCTACCAAAAGAAAGGTTAAAGTCTGTGAGTTGAACGCACATATCACAAAGAAGTTTCTGAGAATCATTCTGTCTAGTTTTTCAGTGAAGATATTACCTGTTCTAACATAAGCCTCAAACGGCGCTAAATATCCACTTGGAAATACTACAAAAGGAGGGTTTCAAAACTGCTCTACGAAAGGAAGGTTGAACTCTGTGATTTGAAAGCACACATCACAAAGAAGTTTCTGAGAATTCTTCCGTCTACTTTTATATGAAGATATCACTTTTCAAACGAAGGCCACAAGGAGGTACAAATATACAATTGCAGATTCTACAAAAAGAGTGTTTCACAAATGCTCTATCAAGAGGAATGTTCAACTATGTGAGTTGAATGCAAATATCACAATGAAGTTCCTGACAATGCTTCTATCTAGTTTTTATGTGAAGATATTTCCTTTTCTTCGGTATGCCTCAAAGTGCTCTAAATAAACATTTGCAAACTCCACAAAAAGACTGTTTCAAAACTGCTCTATCAAAAGAAATTTTAAACTCTGTAAGCTTAATTAACACATCTCAAAGTAGTTTCTGAGAATGATTCTGTATAGTTTTTCTATGAAGATATTTCCTTTTCTACCACAGGCCTCAAACCGCTCTAAATATCCACTTGGAAATTCTACAAAAAGAGTATTTCAGAACTGCTCTATTGAAAGGAAGGTTCAAAACTGTGAGTTGAATGCACAAATCACAAAGAAGTTTCTGAGAATTCTTCTGTCATATTTTATATGAAGAAATCCCGTTTCCAATGAAGGCCTCAAAAAGGTCCAAATATTCACTTGCAGATTCTACAAAAAGACTGTTTCAATACTGCTGTACCAAAAGAAAGGTTAAAGTCTGTGAGTTGAACGCACACATCACAAAGAAGTTTCTGAGAATCATTCTGTCTAGCTTTTCAATGAGGATATTTCCTGTTCTACAATATGCCTCAAATGACGCTAAATATCCACGTGGAAATACTACAAAAGGAGAGTTTCAAAACTGCTCTACGAAAGGAGGGTTTAACTCTGTGATTTGAAAGCACACATCACAAAGAAGTTTCTGAGAATTCTTCTGTCTAGTTTTATATGAAGAAATCACGTTTCAAACGAAGGCCAGAAAGAGGTCCAAATACCCTCTCTCAGCTTCTACAAAAAGAGTGTTTCAAAACTGCTCTATCAAGAGGAATGTTCAACTCGTGAGTTGAATGCAAATATCACAAAGTACTTTCTGACATTTTTTCTGTCTAGTTTTTAGGTGAAGATATTTCCTTTTCTACCTCAGGACTCAAAGCGCTCTAAATATGCACTTGCAAATTCTACAAAAAGAGTTTTACAAAACTGCTCTGTCAAAAGAAAAGTTAAACTCCGTAAGCTGAATGCACACATCACAAAGTAATTTCTGAGAATGATTCTGTATAGTTTTTCTAGGAAGATATTTCGTTTTCTACCACTGGCCACACACTGCTCTAAATAGACCCTTGGAAATTCTACAAAAAGAGTATTTCACAACTGCTCTATCAAAAGGAAGGTTCAACTCTGTGAGTTAAATGCACACATCACGAAGAAGTTTCTGAGAATTCTTCTGTCAAGATTTACATGAAGAAATTCCGTTTCCAAGGAAGGCTTCAAAATGTCCAAATATTCACTTGCAGATTCTATAAAAAGACTGTTTCAAAACTTATCTATCAAAAGAAATATTGAACTCTGTGAGTTTAACCCACACAGCATAAAGTAGTTTCTGAGAATGATTCTGTCTAGTTTTTCTATGAAGATATTTAATATTCTGTAGGCCTCAAAGCGCTCTAAATTTACACTTGCAAGTTCTGCAAAAAGAGTGTTACAAAACTGCTCATCTAAAGAAATGTTAAACTCTGTAAGCTGAACGCACACATCACAAAGAAGTTTCTGAGAATTATTCTGTCACGTTTTATATGAAGAAATCTCGTTTCCAAAGAAGGCCTCCCAAAATTGCAAATATTCACTTGCAGATTCTGCAAAAAGTGTGTTTCAAAACTGCTCTATCAAAAGAAAGGTTAAACTCTGTGAGTTGAACACACACATCACAAAGTAGTTTCTGAGAATCATTCTGTCTGTTTTCTATGAAGATATTGCCTTTTCTACAATAGGCCTCAAACGGCGCTAAATATCCCCTTGGAAATTCAACAAAGAGAGAGTTTCAAAAATCCTCTATCAAAAGGAAGGTTCAATTCTGTGAGTTGAAAGCACATATCACAAAGAAGTTTCTGAGAATTTTTCTCTCTACTTTTATATTAAGAAATCACGTTTCAAACGAAGGCCAGAAAGAGGTCCAAATACACTCTCTCAGCTTCTACAAAAAGAGTGTTTCAAAACTGCTCTATCAAGAGTAATTTACAACTCTGTGAGTTGAATGCAAATATCACAAATCAGTTTCCAAAAATGCTTCTGTATAGTTTTTATGTGAAGATATTTCCTTTTCTACAGTAGGCCTCAAAGCGCTCTAAATATACAACCGCAAATACCACAAAAAGTTTGTTTCAAAATTTCTCTATCAGAAGAAATTTTAAACTCTGTAAGCTGAATGCACACATCACAAAGTAGTTTCTGAGAATGATTTTGTTTAGTTTTTCTATGAAGATATTTCCTTTTCTACCACCGACCTCAAACCACTGTAAATATCCACTGGGAAATTCTACAAAAAGAGTATTTCAAGACTGCTCTATCGAAAGGAAGGTTCAACACTTTGAGTTGAATGCACACATCACAAAGAAGTTTCTGAGAATTATTCTGTCAAGTTTTATATGAAGAGATCCCATTTCCAACGAAGGCCACAAAAAAGTCCAAATATTCACTTGCAGATTCTACAAAAACCGTGTTTCAAAACTGCTCTATCAAAAGAAAGGTTAAACTCTGTAAGCTGAATTCACACATTACAACGTTGTTTCAGAGAATTATTCTGTCTTGTTTTTCTATGAAGATATGTCCTTTTATACCAAAGGCCTCAAACCACTCTAAATATCAACCTGGAAATTCTAAAAAAAGAGTATTTCAAAACTGCTCTATCGAAAGAAGGTTTAACTCTGTGAGTTGAATGCACACATCACAACGAAGTTTCTGATAATTCTTCTGTCAAGTTATAATGGAAGAAATCCCGTTTCCTACGAAGGCCCCAAAAAAGGCCAAATACTCACCTGCCCATTATATAAAAAGGGTGTTTGAAAACTGCTCAATCAAAATAAAGGTTAAACTCTGTGAGTTTAATCCACACATCACAATGTAGTTTCTGGGAATCATTCTGTCTAGTTTTTCTACGAAGGTATTTCCTTTTCTACCATAGGCCTCAAACGTCGCTAAATATACTCTTGGAAATTCTACAAAAAGAGAGTTTCAAAACTGCTCCATCCAAAGGAAGGTTCAACTCGTTGAGTTGAAAGAACACATCACGAAGAAGTTTCTGAGAATTCTTCTGTCTAGATTTATATGAAGAAATCACATTTAAAACGAAGGCCGCAAAGAGGTTCAAATATCCGCTGGCCGATTCTACAAAAAGAGTGTTTCAAAACTGCTCTGTCAAAGGAAAGGTTAAACTCTGTGAGTTGAACACTCACCTCACAAAGTAGTTTCTGATAATCATTCTGTCTAGTTTTACTGTGAAGATATTTCCTTTTCTGCCATAGGCCTCAAACTGTGCTAAATATCCACTTGGAAATAGTACAAAAAGAGTATTTCAGAACTGCTGTATCGAAAGGAAGGTTCAACTCTCTCAGTTGAATGCACACATCACAAAGAAGTTTCTGAGAATTCTTCTGTCAAGTTTTATATAAAGAAATCCCATTTCCAACGAAGACCTCAAGAAAGTCCAGATATTCCCTTGCAGATTCTACAAAAAGAGTGTTTTAAAACTGCGCTATCAAAACAAAGGTTAAACTCTGTGAGTTGAACACACACATCACAAAGTACTTTCTGAGAATCATTCTGTCTAGTTATTTATGAAGATATTGCCTTTTCTACTGTAGGCCTCAAACGACGTTTAATATCCACTTGGAAACTCTACAAAAATAGAGTTTCAAACTGCTCGATTGAAAGGAAGGTTCAACTCTGTGACTTGAAAGCACACATTACAAAGAATTTTCTGAGAATTCTTCCGTCTAGTTTTATGTGAAGAATTCGCGTTTCAAACGAAGACCACAAAGAGGTCCCAATATCAACTTGCAGTTTCTAAAAAAAGAGTGTTTCAAACTGCTCTATCAAAAGGAAGGTTCAAATCTGTTAGTTGAATGCACACATGAAAAAGAAGTTTCTTAGAATTCTTCTGACAAGTTTTATATGAAGAAATCCCGTTTCCAACGAAGGCCTGAAAAAATTCCAAATATTCACTTGCAGATTCTACAAAAAGTGTTTCAAAACTGCTCTATCAAAAGGAAGGTTAAACTTTGTGAGTTAAAAGCACACATCACAAAGTAGTTTCTGAGAATCATTCTGTCTAGTTTTTCTAAGAGGATATTTCCTTTTCTACCATAGGCCTCAAACGACGTTAAAAATATCCGTTTGGAAATACTACAAAAGAGTATTTCAAAACTGCTGTATCGAAAGGAAAGTTCAGCTCTGTGAGTTGAATGCACACATCTCAAAGAAGTTTCTAAGAATTGTTCTGTCTAGTTTTATATGAGGAAATCACTTTTCAAACGAACGCCACAAAGAGGTCCAAATATCCACTTGCAGATTTTACAAAAAGAGTGTTTCAAAACTGCTCCATGAAGAGGAGTGTTCAACTCTGTGAGTTGAATGCAAATATCACAAAGTACTTTCTGACAATGCTTCTGTCTACTTATTATGTGAAGATATTTCCTTTTCTATCGTTGGCCTCAAAGTACTCTAAATATACACTTGAAAATTCCACAAAAAGAGAGTTTCAGCACTGCTGTATCAAAAGATTGGTTAAACTCTGAAAGCTGAATATGACTCTCAAAGCGCTCTAAATATACACTTGCAAATTCCACAAAAAGAGTGTTTCAAAACTGCTATATCAAAAGAAGTGTTAATCTCTGTGAGTTGAACGCACACATCACGAAGCAGTTTCTGAGAATCATTCTGTCTAGTTTTTCTATGAAGATATTGCCTTTTCTACCATAGACCTCAAACGGCGCTACATATCCACATTGAAATTCTACAAGAAGAGTTTTTCAAAAATGCTCTATAAAAAGGAAGGTTAAACTTTGTAAGCTAAATGCACACATCACAAATTAATTTCTGAGAATGATTCTCTCTAGTTTTTCTATGAAGATATTCCCTTTTCTACCACAGGTCTCAACCAGCTCTAAATTTCTACTTGGAAATCCTACAAAAAGAGTATTTTGAAACTGCTCTATCGAAAGGAAGGTTCAACTCTGTGAGTTAAATTGACATATCACTAAGTAGTTTCTGAGAATTCTTCTGTCACGTTTTATATGAAGAAATCCCCTTTCCAAAAAGGCCTCAAAAAAGTCCAAATATTCACTTGCAGATTCTACAAAAAGAGTGTTTCAAAACTGCTCTATCAAAAGAAAAGTTAAACACTGGGAGTTGAACACACACATCACAAAGCAGTTTCTGAGAATCATTCTGTCTAATTTTTCTGTGAATATATTGCCTTTTCTACCATAGGCATCAAAAGGCGCTAAATATCCTCTTGGAAATTCTACAAAAAGAGAGTTACAAAACTGCTCTATCGAAAGGAAGGTTTAACATTGTGAGTTGAAAGCACACATCTCAAAGAAGTTTCTGAGAATTCTTCTGCCTAGTTTTATATGAAGAAATCACGTTTCAAAAGAAGGCCACAAAGAAGTCCAAATATCCACTTGCAGATAATACATAAAGAGTGTTTCAAAACTGCTCTATAAAGAGGAATGTTCAACTCCGTGAGTTGAATGCAAAGATACAAATTATTTTTTGACAATTCTTCTGTCTAATTTTTATGTGAGGATATATCCTTTTCTACCGTATGCCTCAAAGCGCTCTAAATATACACTTGCAAATTCCACAAAAAGAGTGTTTCAAAACTGCTCTATCAAAAGAAAGGTTAAACTCTGTAAGCTGAATGCAAACTTCACAAAGTAGTTTCTGAGAATGATTCTGTCTAGTTTTTCTATGAAGATATTTCCTTTTCTACCATAGGCCCCAAACAGCTCTAAATATCCACTTGGAAATACTAAAAGAAGAGAATTTCAAAACTGTTCTATAGAAAGGAAGGTTCAAACATTTGAGTTGAATGCACATTTCACAAAGAATTTTCTGAGAATTCTTCTGTCAAGTTTATATGAAGAAATCCCGTTTCCAAAGAAGGCCTAAAAAAAGTCCAAATATTCACTTGTAAATTCGGCAAAAAGAGTGTTTCAAAGCTACTCTATCAAAAGAAAGGTTAAACTCTGTGACTTGAACGCACACATCACAAAGTAGATTCTGAGAATAATTCTGTCTAGTTTTTCTATGAAGTTATTTGCTTTTAAACCATAGGCCTCAAACGGCGCTGAATATCCACTTGGAAATTCTACAAAAAGAGAGTTTCAAAACTGCCCTGTCGAAAGGAAGGTTCAACTATGTGAGTTGAAAGCATACATCACAAATATGTTTCTGAGACTTCTTCTGTATCGTTTTATAAGAAGAAATCACGTTTCAAACGAAGGCCACAAAGAGGTCCAAATATCCACCTGGAGATTCTACAAAAAGAGTGTTTCAAAACTGCTCTATCAAGAGGAATGTTCAACTCTGTAAATTGAATGCAAATATCATAAAGTAGTTTCTGACAATGCTTCTGTCTAGTTTTTATGTGAAGATATTTCCTTTTATACGGTAGGCCTCAAAGCGCTCAATATATACACTTGCGCATTCCCCAAAAGATTGTTTCAAAACTGCTCTATGAAAAGGAAGGCTAACTTCTGTAAGCTGAATGCACACATCAAAAATAGTTTCTGAGAATGATTCTGTCTAGTTTTTCTATGAAACTATTTCCTTTTCTAGCATAGGCCTCAAACCGCTCTAAATATCCAGTTGGAAATTCTACAAAAAGAGAATTTCAAAACTGCCCTATCGAAAGGAAGATTCAACTCTGTGAGTTGAAAGCACACATCACAGAGAAGTTTCTGAGAGTTCTTCTGTCAAGTTTTATATGAAGAAATCCAATTTCCAACGAAGGCCTCAAAAAAGTTCAAATATTCACTTGCAGATCCTACAAAAAGAGTGTTTCAAAACTGCTCTATCCAAAGAAAGGTTAAACTCTGTGAGTTGAACGCACACACCACAAAGTAGTTTCTGAGAATCATTCTGTCTAGTTTTTCTATGAAGATATTGCCTTTTCTACCTTAGGCCTCAAACGGCTCTAAATGCCACCTGAAAATTCTACAAAAAGAGAATTTCAAAACTGCTTTATCGAAAGGAAGGTTCAAATCAGTGAGTTGTATGCACATATCACAAAGAATTTTCTGAGAATTCTAATGTCAAATTTTATATGAAGAAATCCTGTTTCCAAAGAAAGCTTCAAAAAAGTCCAAATATTCACTTGCAGATTCTACAAAAAGAGTGTTTCAAAACTGCTCTATCAAAAGAAAGGTTAAACTCTTTGAATTTAACACACACACCACAAAGTAATTTCTGAGAATCATTCTGTCTAGTTTTCCTATGAAGATATTACCTGTTCTACCATAGGCCTCAAAAGGAGCTAAATATCCACTTGGAAATTCTATAAAAAGAGAGTTTCAAAACCGCTCTATCGATAGGAAGGTTCAACTCTGTGAGTTGAAAGCACACATCACATGGAAGTTTCTGAGAATTCTTCTGTCAATTTTTATTTGAAGAAATTCCGTTTCCAACTAAGGCATCAAAAAGTCCAAATATTCACTTGGAGATACTACAAAAGGTAATGCCTTTTTTACAATAGGCCTCAAAGGGCGCCAAATATCCATTTGAAAATTCTAAAAAAAAGAGAGTTTCAAAACTGCTCTATCAAAAGGCAGTTTCAACTCTGTGAGTTGAAAGCAGACATCACAAAGATGTTTCTGAGAATTCTTCTGTCTAGTTTTAAATGAAGAAATCACATTACGAACGATGGCCACAAACAGTTTGAAATATCCACCTGCAGATTCTACAAAAAGAGAGTTTCAAAACCGCTCTATCAAAAGAAAGGTTACACTCTGTGAGTTGAACGGACACCACACAAAGTCGTTTCTGAGAATCATTCTGTCTTGTTTTTCTATGAAGATATCGCCTTTTCTATTATAGGCTTCAAACGGCGCTAAATATCCACTTGGAAATTCTACAAAAAGAGAGTTTAAAACTGCTCTATCGAAAGGAAGGTTCAACTCTGTGAGTTGAAAGCACACATCACAAGGGAGCTTCTGAGAATTCTTCTGTCTAGTTTTATATGATGAAATCTCGTTTCAAACGAAGGCCACAAAGACGTCTGCATGTCCACTCACAGATTCCACAAAAATAGTGTTTCAAAACTGCTCTATCAAGAGGAATGTTCAATTCTGTGAGTTGAGTGCAAATATCACAAATTAATTTCTGACAATGCTTCTGTCTAGTTTTTATGTGAAGATATTTCCTTTTCTACCGTAGGTCTCAAACCGCTCTAAATATACACTTGCGAATTGCAAAAAAAAAGTGTTTCAAATCTGCTCTATCAAAATAAACGTTAAACTCTGTAAGCTGAATGCACATATCACAAAGTAGTTTCTGAGAATGATTCTGTCTACTTTTTCTATGAAGATATTTCCTTTTGTACCACAGGCCTCAAACAGCTGTAAATATCCACTTGGAAATTATACAAAAAGAGTATTTCAAAACTGCTGAATCGAAAGGCAGGTTCAACTCTGTGAGTTGAATGCACACATCACAAGGAAGTTTCTGAGAATTCATCTGTCAAGCTTTATATGAAGAAATCCGGTTTCCAACGAAGACTCCCAAAAAGTCCAAATAGTCACTTGCAGATTCTACAAAAAGAGTGTTTCAAAACTGCTCTATCAAAAGAAACGTTAAATTCTGTGAGTTGAATGCACACATCACAAAGTAGTTTCTGAGAATCATTCTGTCTAGTTTTTCTATGAAGATATTGCCTTTTCTACCATAGGCCTCAAACGGCGCTACATATCCACTTGGAAATACTACAAAAAGAGAGTTTCAAAACTGCTCTATCGAAAGGAAGTTTCAACTCTGTGTGTTGAAAGCACACATCACAAAGAAGTTTCTGAGAATTCTTCTGTCTAGTTTTATATGAAGAAACATCGTTTCAAACGAAGGCCACAAAGAGGTCCAAATATCCATTTGCAGATTCTACACAAAGAGTGTTTCAAAGCTGCACTATCAAGAGGAATGTTCAACTTTGTGAGTTGAATGCAAATATCACCAAATAGTTTCTGACAATGCTTCTGTCTTGTTTTTATGTGAAGATATTTCCTTTTCTACTGTAGGACTCAAAGCGCTCTAAATATACAACTGCAAATTCCTGAAAAAACTGTTTCAAAACTGCTCTATCAAAAGAAAGGGTAAACTCTGTTAGCTGAATGCACACATCACCAAGTAGTTTCTGACCATGATTCTGTCTAATTTTTATATGAAGATATTTTCTTTTCTACTACAGATCTCAAACCGCTCTAAATATCCATTTGGAAATTCTACAAAAAAAGTATTTCAAAACTGCTCTATCGAAAGGTAGGTTGAACTCTCTGAGTTGAATGCACACATCACAAAGTAGTTTCTGAGAATTTTTCTGTCACGTTTTATATGAAGAAACCACGTTTCAAATTAAAGCCCCACAAACGTCAAAATATTCAATGGCTGATCCTACAAAAAGAGTTTTTCAAAACTACTCTATCAAGGGGAATGTTCTTCCTTGTGAGTTGAATGCAAATATCACCTACTAGTTTCTGAAAATGCTTCTGTCTAGTTTCAATGTGAAGATAATTCCTTCTGTACGGCAGACCTCAAAGCGCTCCAAATATACACTTGCAAATTCCACAAAAAGAGAGATTAAAAACCGCTCTGTCAAAAGAAAGGTTAAACTCCCTGAATTAAACGCATACATCACCAAGTAGTTTCTGAGAATCACTCTGTCTAGTTTTTCTATGAAGATGTTGCCTTTTCTACCATAGTCCTCAAACGACACTAAAAATCCACTTGGAAATTCTGTCATTTGAAGGCAAATATCACGAAGCAGTTTCTGAAAATGCCTCTGTCTAGTTTTTATGGTAAGATATTTCCTTTTCTACACTAGACCTCAAAGCGTTCCAAATATACACTTGCAAATTCTACGAAAAGAGTGTTTCAAAACTGCTCTATGAAAAGAAAGGTTAAACTCCCTAAACTAAAGGCACACATCACAAAGTAGTTTCAGAGAATGATTCTGTCTACTTTTGATATCAACATATTTCCTTTTCTACCGTGGGCCTCAAACCGCTCTAAATATCCACTTGAAAATCCTGCAAAAAGAGTATTTCAAAACTGCACTATGGAAAGAAACGTTCAATTCTGTGAGTTGAATGCGCATATCACAGAGATGATTCTGAGAGTTCTTCTGTCAGGTTTATATGAAGTAATTCCCTTTCAAAAGAAGGCCTCATAAAAGTCCAAATATTCACTTGCAGATTCTACAAATAGAGTGTGTCAAAAGTGCTCTATCAAAAGAAAGGTTAAACTCTGTGAGCTCAACGTAAACATCACAAACCAGTTTCTGAGAATCACTCTGTCTAGTTTTTCTATGAAGATATTGCCTTTTCTACCATAGGCCTCAAACAGCAATAAAAATCAACTTGGAAATTCTGTCAGTTTAATGCAAATATCACAAAGTAGTTTCTGACAATGCTTCTGTATAGTTTTTATGTGAAGATATTTCCTTTTCTACACTAGCCCTCAATGCTTTCCAATTATACACTAGGAAAGTCTACAAAAAGAGTGTTTCAAAACTGCTCTATCAAGAGAAAGGTTAAATTCTGTAAGCTGAATGCACACACCACAATGTAGTTTCTGAGAATGATTCTCTCTAGTTTTTCTATGAAGATATTCCCTTTTCTTCCATAGGCCTCAAACTGCTCTAAATATCCACTTGGAATTTCTACAAAAAGAGTATTTCAAAACTGTTCTATCGAAAGGAACGTTCAACTCTGTGAGTTGAATGCACACATCACAAAGAAGTTTCTGAGAATTCTTCTGTCACGTTTTATATGAAGAAATCCCGTTTCCAACGAAGGACCCCCAAAAATCCAAATATTCACTTGCAGATTCTACCAAAAGGAGTTTCAAAATTACTCTATCAAAAGAAAGGTTAAACTCTGTGAGTAGAACGCAAACATCACAAAGAAGTTTCTTAGAATCATTCTGTCAAGTTTTTCTACCAAGATATTGCCTTTTCTACCATAGGCCTCAAACAGCCCTAAATATACACTTTGAAATTCTACAAAAAGAGAGTTTCAAAACTGCTGTATCAAAAGGAAGGTGCAACTCTGTGAGTTGAAAGCACACATGACAAAGAAGTTTCTGAGAATTCTTCTGTTAAGTTTTATATGAAGAAATCACGTTTCAAACGAAGTCCACAAAGAGGTCCAATTATCCACTTGCAGATTATCCAAAAGAGTGTTTCAAAACTGCTCTATGAAAAGAAAGGTTAAACTCCCTTAGCTGAATGCACACATCACAAACTAGTTTCATAGGATGATTCTGTCTAATTTTTCTATGAAGATATTACGTTTTCTACCATAGGCCTCAAACGGCTCTTAATATCCACTTCGAAATTCTACAAAAAGATTACTTCAAACCTGCTGTATTGAAAGGAAGGTTCAACTCTGTGAGGTGAATGCACACATCACAAAAGAGTTTCTGAGAGTTCTTCTGTAAGGTTTTATATGAAGAAATCCCGTTTCCAAAGGCCTCAAAAAAGTCCAAATATTCACTTGCAGATTCTACAAAGAGAGTTTCAAAACTGCTCTATCAAAGGAAAGATTAATCTCTGTCAGATGAACGCCCACATCAAAAAGTAGTTTCTGAGAATCATTCTGTCAAGTTTTTCTATGAAGATATTGCTTTTTATACCTAAGACCTCAAAGGACCCAAGCTTTACACTTGGAAATTCTCCAAAAAGAGAGTTTCAAAACTGCTCTATCAAAAGGAAGGATCAACACGGTGAGTTGAAAGAACACATCACAAAGAAGTTTCTGAGAATTCTTCTGTCAAGTTTTATATGAAGAAATGCTGTTTCTAATGAAGGCCTCAAAAAGTCCAAATTGTTCCCTTGCAGGTTCTACAAAAAGCGTGTTTCAAAACTGCTCTATAAAAAGAAAGGTTAAACCCTGTGAGTTGAACGCACACATCACAAAGTAGTTTCTGAGAATCATTCTGTCTATTTTTTCTATGAAGATATTGCCTTTTCTACCACAGGCCTCAAACAGCGCTAAATATCCACTTGAAAATTCTACAAAAAGAGAGTTTCAAAACTCCTCTATCGAAAGGAAGTTTCAATTCTGTGAGTTGAAAGCACACATCAGAAAGAAGTTTCTGAGAATTCTTCTGTCTAGTTTTATATGAAGAAATTACGTATCAAAAGATGGCCTCTAAAAAGTCCAAATATTCCCTTGCAGATTCTACAAAAACAGTGTTTCTAAACTGCTCTATCAAAATAAAGGTTAAACTCTTTGAGTTGAGCGCACACATCAAAAAGTAGATTCTAAGAATCATTCAGTATTTTTTTTCTATGAAGATATTGCCTTTTTAACATAGGCCTCAAACGGTGCTAAATATCCACTTGGAAATTCTACAAAAAGAGAAATTCAAAACTTCTCTATCGAAAGGAAGGTTCAGCTCTGTGGGTTGAAAGCACACATCACAAGGAAGTTTCTGAGAATTCTTCTGTCTAGATTTATATGAAGAAATCACGTTTCAAACGAAGTCCACAAAGGGGTCCAAATATCCCCTTGCAGATTCTACAAAAAGAATGTTTCAAAACTGCTCTACCAAGAGGAATGTTCAACTCTATGAGTTCAATGCAAATATCAAAATGTAGTTTCTGACAACGCTTCTGTCTAGTCTTTATGTTAAGATATTTCCTTTTCTATCATATTACTCAAAGTGCACTAATTATACACATGCAAATTCCCCAAAAACAGTGTTTCAAATCTGCTCTATGGAAAGAAAGTTTAAACTCTGTAAGCTTAATGCACACATCACAAAACAGTTTCTCAGAATGATTCTGCCTAGCTTTTCTATGAAGATATTTCCTTTTCTACCACTGGCCTCAAACCACTCTAAATATCCACTTGGTAATTCTACAAAAAGAGTATTTCAAAACTGCTCTATCGAAAGGAATGTTCACCTCTGTGATTTGAATGCACTCATCACAAAGGAGTCTCTGAGAATTCTTCTGCCACGTTTTATATGAAGAAAACACGTTTCCCTAGAAAGACCACAAAAATTCCAAATATTCAAATGCAGATTGTACAAAAAGTGTGTTTCCAAACTGCTCTATCTAAAGAAAGGTTAAACTCTGTGAGTTGAATGCACACATCACAAAGTAATTTCTGAGAATCATTCTGTCTAGTTTTTCTATGAAAATATTGCCTTTTATACCAGAGGCAACAAACGGCACTGAATATCCACTTGGAAATTCTACAAAAAGAGAGTTTCAAAACTGCTCTACCTAAAGTAAATTCAATTCTGCAAGTTGAAAGCACACATCACAAAGAAGTTTCTGAGAATTCTTCTGTCTACTTCAATATGAATAAATCACGTTTCAAACGAAGGCCACAAAGAGTTCCAAACATCCACTTGCAGATTCGACAATAAGATTGTTTCAAAACTGCTCTATCAAGTGGAAAGTTCACTTCCGTGAGTTCAATGCAAATATCACAGAATAGTTTCTGACAATGCTTCTGTCTAATTTTTAGGTGAAGATTTTTCTTTTCTACTGTAGGCCTCGAAGCTCTCTAAATATACACTTTCAAATTGCAAAAAAAGAGAGTTTCAAAACTGCTCTATCAAAAGAAAGGTTAAACTACGTAAGCTGAATGCACACATCACAAAGTTGTTTCTGAGAATGATTCTGTCTAGTTTTTCTATGAAGATATTCCCTTCTCTACCACAGGCCTCAAACCGCTCTAAATATCCACTTGGGAATTCTACTAAAAGAGAGTTTCAAAACAGCTCTGTCGAAAAGAAGGTTCAACTCTCTGCGTTGAAAGCACACATCCCCAAGAAGTTACTGAGAATTCTTCTGTCTATTATATATGAAGAAATCACTTTTCAAAAGAAGGCCACAAAGACGTCAAAATATCCACTTGCAGATCCTACAAAAAGAGTGTTTCAAAACTGCTCTATCAAGAGGAATGTTCAACTCTGTGAGTTAAATGCAAATATCACAAAGTAGTTTCTGACAACGCTTCTGTCTAGTTATTATGTGAAGATATTTCCTTTTCTACCGTAGGCCTCAAAGCACTCTAAATATACATTTGCAAATTCCAAGAAAAGACTGCTTCAAAACTGCTCTATCAAAAGAAAGTTTAAACTCAGTAAGCTGAATGCACACATCACAAAGTAGTTTCTGAGAATGATTCTGTCTAGTTTGTCTATGAAGATATTTCCTTTTCTACCACAGGCCTCAAACCACTCTAAATATACCCATGGAAATTATACAAAAAGAGTATTTTGAAACTGCTCTATCGAAAGGAAGGTTCAACTCTGTGAGTTGAATGCACACATAATAAAGAAGTTTCTTAGAATTCTTCTGTCAGGTTTTATATGAAGAAATCTCGTTTCCAACGAAGGCCTTAAAAAAGACCAAATATTGAATTGCAGATTCTACAGAAGAATAATTTCAAAACTGCTCTATCGAAAAGAAGGTTCGAATCTGGGAGTTGAATGCACACATCACAAAGAAGTTTCTGAGAATTCTTCTGTCAAGTTTCATAAGAAGAAATCCGGTTTCCAACGAAGGCCACAAAAAGTCCAAATATTCACTACCAGATTCTACCAAAAGAGTGTTGCAAATATACATTTGGAAATTCTACAAAAAGAGACTTTCAAAACTGCTCTATCGAAAGGAAGCTTCAACACTGTGAGTTGAAAGCACACATCACAAATAAGTTTCTTAGAATTCTTCTCTCTAGTTTTATATGAAGAAATCAAGTTTCAAACGAAGGCCATAAAGAGGTCTAAATATACACTTGTAGATTCTACAAAAAGAGTGTTTCAAAACTTCTCTATGAGAGGAATGTTCACCTCTGTGAGTTGAATGCAAATATCACAAAGTAGTTTCTGACAATGCTTCTGTCTAGTTTTTATGTGAAGATATTTCCTTTTCTACCATAGGCCTCAACGCGCTCTAAATATACACTTGGAAATTCCAGAAAAATAGTGTTTCAAAACTGATCTATGAAAAGAAAGGTTAAACTCGGCAAGCTGAATGCACACATCACAAAGTAGTTTCTGATAATCATTCTATCTTGTTTTTCTCTGAAGACATATCCTTTTCTACCATAGGCCTCAAACCGCACTAAATATCCACTTTAAATGCTAAAAAAAGACTATTTCAAAACTGCTGTATCGAAAGGAGGGTTCAAATCTGTGAGTTGAATACTCACCTCTCAAGTAAGTTTCTGACAATTCTTCTGTCAAGTTTTATATGAAGAAATCCCGTTTGAAAAGAAGGCCTCAAAAAAGTCAAAATATCTGCTTGCAGATTCTACAAATGAGTATTTCAAAACTGCTCTATCAAGAGGAATGTTCAACTCTGTGAGTTGAATGCAAATATCACAAAGTAGTTTCTAACAATGCTTTTGTCTAGTTTTTATGTGAAGATATTTCCTTTTCTACTGTAGGCCTTTAAGCACTCAATAAATACGATTTCATATTCCTCAAAAACAGTGTTTCAAAACTGCTCTATCAAAAGAAAGGTTAAGTTCTGTAAGCTGAATGCACACATCACAATGTAGTTTCTGATAATGATTCCATCTGGTTTTTTATGAAGATATTTCCTTTTCTTTCATAGGCCTCAAACCACACTAAATATCCACTTGGAAATTCTACAAAAAGAGTATTTCAAAACTACTCTATCGAAAGGAAGGTTCAACTCTGTGAGTTGAATGCACACCACCCAAATAAGTTTCTGAGAATTCTTCTGTCAAGTTTTATATGAAGAAATCCGGTTTCCAACGAAGGCCTCAAAAAAGTACAAATATTCACTTGCAGATTCTACAAAAAGACTGTTTCAAAACTGCTCTATCAAAAGAAAGGTTAAACTCCGTGAGCTGAACGCACACATCACAAAGTAGTTTCTGAGAATCATTCTGTCTAGATTTTCTATGAAGATATTTCCTTTTCTACCATAGGCCTCAAACACCACTAAATAAACACTTGGAAACTTTACAAAGAGTTTTTCAAAACTGCTCTGTTGAAAGGAAAGTTCAACTACGTGAGATGAAAGCACACATCACAAAGAAGGTTCTGAGATTTCTTCTATGCAGTTTTATATGAAGAAATCACGTTTCAAACGAACGCCACAAATAGGTCCAAATATCCAGTTGCAGATTTGACAAATACAGTGTTTCAAAACTGCTCTATAAAGAGGAATGTTCAACTCTGTGAGTTGAATGCAAATATCACAATGTTGTTTCTGACTATGATTCTGTTTATTTTTTATGTGAAGATATTTCCTTTTCTACCATAGGCCTCACAGCGCTCTAAATATACACTTAGAAATTCCACAAAAAGTGTGTTTCAAAACTGCTCTATCAGAAGAAAGGTTAAACTCTGTCAGCTGACACTCTGTCAGCACACATAACAAAGTAGTTTCTGATAATGATTCTATCTTGTTTTTCTATGAAGATATTTCCTTTTCTACCATAGGCCTCAAAGCAAACTAAATAACCACTTGGAAATTCTACAAAAAGAGTATTTCAAAACTGCTCTTTCGAAAGGAAGGTTCGACTCCGTGAGTTGAACGCACACTTCCCAAATAAGTTTCTGGCAATTCTTCTGTCAAGTTTTATATGATGAAATACCGTTTCCAACGAATGCCTCAAAAAAGTCCGAATATTCACTTGCAGATTCTACAAAAAGAGTGTTTCAAAACTGCTCTATCAAAAGAAAGATTAAACTCTGTGAGTTGAACCCACACATCACAAAGAAGTTTCTGAGAATCATTCTGTCTAGTTTTTGTATAAAGATATTGCCTTTTCTACCATAGGCCTCAAACAGCGCTGAATATCCACTTGGAAATTCTACAAAAAGAGAGTTTCAAAACTGCTCTATCGAAAGGAAGTTTCAAATCTGTGAGTTGAAAGCACACAGCACAAAGTAGTTTCTGCGAATTCTGCTGTCTAGTTTTATATGAAGAAATCATGTTTCAAACGATGGCCACGAAGAGGTCCAGTTATCCACTTGCAGATTCTACAAAAAGAGTGTTTCAAAACTGCTCTATCAAGAAGAATGTTCAATTCTTTGAGTTGAATGCAAACATCACAAAGTAGTTTCTGACAATGCTTTTGTCTAGTTTCTATGTGAAGATATTTCCTTTTCAACCGTAGGCCTCAAGCGCTCTAAATATACAATTGCAAATTCCACAAAAAGAGTGTTTCAAAACTGCTGTATCAAAAGGAAGTTTAAACTCTGTAACCTGAATGCACACAACACAAAGTAGTTTCTGAGAATGATTCGGTCTAGTTTTTCTATGAAGATATTTCCTTTTCTACAACAGGACCCAAACCGCTCTAAATATCCACTTGGAAATCCTACAAAAAGAGTATTTCAAAACTGCTCTATCGAAAGAAAGTTTCAACTCTGTGAGTTGAATACACACATCACAAATAAGTTTGTGAGAATTCTTCAGTCAAGGTTCATAAAAAGAAATCCCGTTTCCAAAGAAGGACCCCCAAAAATCCAAATATCCACTTGCAGATACTACAAAAAGAGTGTTTCAAAACTGCTCTATCAAGAGGAATGTTCAACTCTGTGAGTTGAATGACAATATCACAAAGCAGTTTCTGACAATGCTTCTGTCTAGTTTTTATGTGAAGATATTTCCTTTTCTACCGTAGGCCTCAAGGCTCACTAAATATACACTTGCAAATTCCACAAAAAGAGTGTTTCAGAACTGCTCTATCAAAAGAAAAGTAAAACTCTGTAAGCTGAATTCACATATCACACATTAGTTTCTGACCCTGATTACGTCTAGTTTTTCTATCAAGATATTTCCTTTTCTACCACAGGCCTCAAACCGCTCTAAATATCCCCTTGAAAACACTACAAATAGACTATTACAAAGCTGCTCTATCGAAAGGAAGTTTCAACTTTGTGAGTTGAATGCACACATCACAAAGAAGTTTCTGAAAGTTCTTCTGTCTAGTTTTATATGAAGAAATTCCATTTCCAACGAAGTCCCAAAAAAGTACAAATATTTACTTGCGGATTCTACAAAAGAGTGTTTCAGAACTGTTCTATCCAAAGAACGGTTAAACTCTGTGAATTGAACACACACCTCACAAAGTAGTTTCTGGGAATCATTCTGTCTAGTTTTTCTATAAAGATATTGCCTTTTCTACCATAGGCCTCAAATGGCGCTAAATATACACTTGGAAATTCTACAAAAAGAGAGTTTGAAAACTGCTCTATCAAAAGGAAGGCTCATCTCTGTGAGTTGAAAGCACACATCACAAACAAGTTTCTGAGAACTCTTCTGTCTAATTTCGTATGAAGAAATCACTTTTCAAACAAAAGCCACTAAGATGTCCAAATATCCACTTGCAGATTCTATAAAAAGAGTGTTTCAATACTGCTCTATCAAAAGAAAGGGTAAACTCTGTTAGCTGAATGCACACATCTGAATGTTGTTTCT
The DNA here is from genome assembly GCF_000001405.40 of Homo sapiens. Classification (NCBI taxonomy): domain Eukaryota; kingdom Metazoa; phylum Chordata; class Mammalia; order Primates; family Hominidae; genus Homo; species Homo sapiens. The sequence goes on from NW_012132917.1 coordinate 162,141, forward strand.
GAGAATGATTCTGTCTTGTTTTTCTACGAAGGTGTGTCCTTTTCTACCATAGGCCTCAAACCACACAAAATATCCTGTTGAAAATACTTCAAAAAGAGTATTTAAAAACTGCTCCATTGAAAGGAAGGTTCAACTCTGGGAGTTGAATGCACACATCACAAAGAAGTTCCTGAGACATCTTATGTCATGTTTTATATGAAGAAAACCCCTTTCCAACGAAGGCCTCAAAAAAGTCCAAATATTAATTTGCAGATTCTACAAAAAGGATGTTTCAAAACTGCTCTATCATCAAGAAGAATGTTCAACTCCGTGAGGTGAAAGCAAATATAACAAAATAGTTTCTGAGAATCATTCCGTCTTGTTTTTCTATGAAGATATTGCCTTTTCTACCAGAGGCCTCAAAAGGCGTTAAATATCCACTTGGAAATTCCACAAAAGAGAGTTTCAAAACTCCTCTATCGAAAGGAAAGTTCAACTCTGGGAGATAAATGCACACATCAGAAAGAAGATTCTGAGAATTCTTCTGTCAAGTTTTAAAAGAAGAAAACCCGTTTCCAACGAAGGCCTCAAATAAGTAAAAATATTAATTTGCAGATTCAACAAAAAGAGTGTTTCAAAACTGCTCCATCAAGAGGAACGTTCAACTCTGTGAGTTGAATGCAAATATCACAAAGTAGATTCTGACAATGCTTCTGTCTATTTTTTTTGTGAAGATACTTCCTTTTCTACCGTAGGCCTCAAAGCACCCTAAATCAACAACACTTGCAAATTCCACAAAAAGTGTGTTTCAAAACTGCTCTATCAAAATAAAGCTTAAACTCTGTAAGCTGAATGCACACATCACAAAGCAGTTTCTGAGAATGATTCTGTCTAGTTTTTTTATGAAGATATTACCTTTTCTACCATACGCCTCAAACCACTCTAAATATCCACTTAGAAATCCTACAAAAAGAGTATTTCCAAACTGCTCTATCGAAAGGTAGTTTCAACTCTGTGAGTTGAATGCACACATCAGAAAGAAGTTTCTGAGAATTGTTCTCTCTAGTTTTGGATGAAGAAACCACATTTCAAAGGAAGGCCACAAACAGGTCCAAATAGCTACTCACAGATTCTACAAAAAGAGTGTTTCAATACTGCTCTATTAAGAAGAATGTTCAACTCTGTGAGTTGAATGCAAATATCACAAAGTAGTTTCTGACAATGCTTCTGTCTAGTTTTTATGTGAAGATATTTCCTTTTCTACCGTATGCCTCAAAGCGTTATAAATATACACTTCCAAATTCCACAAAAAGAGTGTTGCAAAACTGGTCTATCAAAAGAAAGGTTAAACTCTGTAAGCTGAAAGCACACATCACAAACTAGTTTCTGAGAGTGATTCTGTCTAATTTTTTTGAAGATATTTCCTTTCCTACCACAGGCCTCAAACGTCGCTCAATATCCACCTGGAAATTCTACAAAAAGAGAGTTTCAAAACTGCTGTACCTAAAGGAAGGTTCAAATCTGAGAGTTGAAAGCACAAATCACAAAGAAGTTTCTGAGAATTCATCTGTCTACTTTTACATGAAGAAATCACGTTTCAAAGGAAGTCCACAAAGAGTTCCAAATATACACTTGTAGATTCTACCAAAAGAGTGTTTAAAACTGCTCTATCAAGAGGAATATTCAACTCTGTGAGTTGAATGCAAATATTACAAAGTAGTTTCTGACAATGCTTCTATCTGGTTTTCATGTGAAGATATTTCCTTTTCTACAGTAGCCCTCAAAGTGCTCTAAATATACACTCGCAAATTCCACAGAAACAGAGTCTCAAAACTCGTCTATCAAAACACAGGTGCACTTATGTAAGCTGTATGCACACAACACAAAGTAGTTTATGAGAATGATTCTGTCTAGTTTTTCTCTGAAGATATTTCCTTTTCTACCATAGGCCTCAAACCACTTTAAATATCCACTTGGAAAATTTACAAAAAGAGTATTTCAAAACTGCTCTATCGAAAGGAAGGTTCAACCCTGGGAGTTGAATGCACACATCACAAAGAAGTGTCTGAGAATTCTTCTGTCAAGTTTTATATGAAGATATCACGTTTCCAATGAAGGCCCCTAATAATTTGAAATATTCACTTGCAGATTCTACAAAAGTTGTGTTTCAAAACTCTTCTATCAAAAGAAAGATGAAACTCTGTGAGTTGAACTCACACAACAACAAGTAGTTTCTGAGAATCATTCTGAAATTTTTTCTATGAAGATATAATGTTTCTGTATAGTTTTTATGTGGAGATATTTCCTTTTCTAACGTAGGCCTTAAAGCGATCTAAATATACACTTGCAAATTCCACAAAAAGAGTGTTTCAAAACTGTTCTACCAAAAGACAGGTCATACTCTGTAAGCTAAAAGCACACATGACAAAGTAGTTTCTGAGAATGATTCTGTTTAGTTTTTCTATGAAGATATTTCCTTTTCTACCACAGGCCCCAAACCGCTCTAAATATCAACTAGGAAATACTACAAAAATAGTATTTCAAAACTGCTCTATCGAAAGGAAGTTTCAACTCTGTGAGTTGAATTCACACATCCAAAATAGTTTTTATATGAAGAAATCCTGTTTCCAACGAAGGCCTCAAAAAAGTCCTAATATTCACTTGCAGAATCTAAAGAGTGTTTCAAAATTGCTCTATCAAAAGAAAGTTTAAAGTCTGTGAGTTGAATGCTCACAGCACAATGTAGTTTCTGAGAATCATTCTGTCTAGTTTTTCTAAGAAGATATTGCCTTTTCTACCATAGGCCTCAAATGGCGCTAAATATCCACTTGGAAATTCTACAAAAAGAGAAATTCAAAACTTCTCTATCGAAAGGAAGGTTCAGCTCTGTGAGTTGAAAGCACACATCACAAGGAAGTTTCTGAGAATTCTTCTGTCTAGATTTATATGAAGAAATCACGTTTCAAAGGAAGGCCACAAAGTGGTCCAAATATGCACTTGCAGATTCTACAAAAAGTTTGATTCAAAACTGCTCTATCAAGAGCAATATTCAATTCTGTGAATTGAATGCAAATATCACATCGTAGTTTCTGACAATTCTTCTCTGTAGTTTTTATGTGAAGATATATCGCTTTCTACCGTTGGCCTCAAATCTCTCTAAATATACACTTGCAAATTCCACAAAAAGAGTGTTTCAAAACTGCTCTATCAAAAGAAAGGTTAAACTCTGTAACCTGAATGCACACATCACAAAGCAGTATCTGAGAAAGATTCTGTCTTGTTTTTCTATGAAGATATTTCCTTTTCTACCACTGGCCTCAAACCTCTCTAAATATCCACTTGGAAATTCTACAAAAAGATTATTTCAAAACTGCTCTATCGAAGGGAAAGTTCACCTCCGTGAGTTGAATGCACACATCACAAAGGTGTTTCTGACAATCCTTCTGTCAAGTTTTATATGAAGAAATCCCGTTTCCAACGAAGGACAAAAAAAAGTCCAAATATTCACTTGCAGATTCTAAAAAAGTGTTTTTCAAAACTGCTCTATGAAAAGAAAGATTAAACTCTGTGAGTTGAACTCTGTGATTTGAAAGCACAAA